>NC_000004.12:81951684-82103199 GCF_000001405.40 Homo sapiens
ACCAGAAAACATCCTAAGCATTTAGCTTTATTAATTCATTTAAATCTCCTAACATTCCTCTGAGATAAGCAGTGTTATCACCAGTATTTTTGCAAGTGAAGAGACAAAGACCGAAAGGTTAAGCAACTTGCCCAAGTTCACAAAGACAGTAAGCAACAGAGGCAAGATTTACACCCATCTGGCTCCACAGCCTACACACAACCACTATGCCATGCTTCCTCTCAATGAGCTAAACATTTGGGAGAATAACTTGGGACTTATAAATCTAAGGAGTGTTAGTTTCATTCATACATCTGTGCCCACCTATAGATGTTACAAGCACAGGAAATGTACCCTAGTCTTCTCTTTCTACAATGAGTTCAGATGGACAAAGGATTTTTCAAAGGCACAATAAACATAGAGTGACAAGGTCAGAGGTCTACCCAAGGGAATCTATTTCCTTTTCTATGATAGGGTAATGCTAGCTGATTCAACAAATAGACCTACAAATGTGTAACAGTTCAAACACAATAAAAATTTATTTATTGCTCAGATAAGAATAAAAGGTGGATATTATGAGTTGACAGGTGGCATTCCTCTTCACAATGGCCCCACCATGCCCAGGTGGAATCATCGACATACAGCCAGGAGAAGAGGAAAGAGAACAGAGCAGCAGCATCCCTGCTTCTTAAATGCTATAGGCAAGATACCACACACATCATTTCCGTGACCACTCCATTAGTGAGAAACAGTTACATGGCCACGCCTAGAGGCAAGAAATGTTGGGAAGTTTAGCCCCTGCTTGGTAGCTACTTATCAGAGATGACTGTCTACTATAAAAAATGGGGCATGAATTTGGGGGTATGTCTGGCCACCTCTGCTACATTCAGCCCATGGAGACTGTGTGGACTCTCCATCACTCAGACATACATGACAGTCTATACCTATGGGGGACACTACCAGGGAATCTGATGGGAAAATAATAGGACACTATTTCCACAGCTCATCCATGTCACTGATGGCTGCAAGAGCAGTGCTCCTTGAGAATGCCAGATACATAGACTACCTTTCCAAAATGTGACGTAAAACCAAGATTGAGGCTCTTTCTTGCAATCCCCACCCATCTCCTAATATGAAAACAAAAACCCGTGTGAAGTCAACACCTTGGTTTACTTAACTCTTGCCGATTGAAAATATCTGGCGGCAATGTGCAAATATCCTCAGTAATTTTTAGATGAAGAAAAAGACCTGAAATGGTTAAACTCTTAAGTAAGTGATTAAAATGCACTAAACTAAATGAATAGCATGAATTTCAGCTCCTTAAAACCAGCAATTCTCTAAATTGAGCTCCAAATGACTTTTAGAATAGCAGAAAGAAAGGCTCTGATGTATTCAATGACAGTGTATTTCCACAAAAATATTTCCCAAGGATGTAATGTTCATAGTAACTATTGCTAAATGTATGGCCGGCACAGAGAAAGGCCTAACCAAGATCATCTACTTCAATGAATAGAAAATAAAAGTCAACTTCAAACATACCTTTTGCCCCTTCTAGGGATGCTCCTTATTCTCCTATGACAACATCCCCAGGTAGACTTGAGAAAGCACAGCAAATTCTTTTCTAGCCCAGTAAATGGTTTTGCAAAGTTAGATTTAAATGTCAAGTATGTCAAGCTCCAGAGCCTTCTCCAACTTATTTATATAATTATATAATAAAATTAAAACTGTATCAAATGTTTCAAGCTTCAGGTTGGCAGTAAGTGTACTACCTATCTTCAAGGAAACTAAATTCTGAATATATATTCCAGAAGAGAAACTGTATCAGAAGTGAAAAGACTGGAAATGTCCATCACTTTTTTTCTTGTAAACTAAGTACTGGTATTACAAATCCACAGTTGTGAACTGAGAAACCAAACACCAGGTGCTCAGCAAGCAGGATCCCGAATGATTGTGAAGACTCCGCACCAGCCTTGGTTTGTCTATATTTACACAGAACAGAAGTACACCTCTAACTAACAGCCTAAGAAGGTGAGCCCGCCATTCATTAGCGAGGCAGGTATTCCTGCTTCCAGCTCCTGGATCTGCTCTGCTTCTTGCCCTTTCTCAAGCCTGAGTCTTAAGCCTCCTGCAGATTCTATGGGCAGCACAGCACTTTCCAAAACATGCTCTTCTATTTAAGGTGGTGAGAGCTAGTTTCTGCTGCTTAGAGATGAACTCCAACAGAAATACCCCCTTTTTCACCTGAGAACACTGAGGCTCAAAACAGTTCTATGAATTGGCAAAGGTTACACAATTGATTGGTAGTAAAGAATAGAGTTCCGTCCAGTGTTATTTTTACTTTTCTGAGTGGAGTCACTTGTAGGAACACTCAGTGAACCTGGACACCTCACCGTGGAAACCTATTTTGCCTCCACCTCCTAGGGCTCCCTTGATTAGACATAAGCTCTGAAAGCACCATTCCATGCCACCCACAAAGTCAGAGGTTTGTCAATCATTTTGATTTGGGCTGAATATGCCCAAAATCTAGATTAATCAGGAGGATATAGCTGAAGATTAATTGGAACAACTGTTTCTTTACAAGTGTTCCTCCATGACTGAGGGTTGAAATAAAGAATTACATTTCTGGATTTGTGTACCAGAAATGTCACAAATAAAAGACACCAGCGGTTTTCCTGAGCTAGAACTTTGCCAACCCCACTTTTTCCCCTACACACAAACACAACAAGGGGGCTCAGCGCTATGGAGCAGAGGCTTGCAGCAGGGGAGCCACCAGAAATGCAGTTAAGAGAGTGCCACTCCACAAAGAGACATTGTCACTAGAGAAGGAAAAGACTGGCCCCTTTCAAAGGTCTAAGTCCTCCTCTCCAAATAGAAAGGAATGCTGTTTTATCAGTACACCTCATCAAGAAAGAATTAAGAGGTAGCCCGGAAAACATTGTAACAAAGCAGAAAAACACAAGTATGCCCCCTTTTATATCAGAAAGGCTTATTTTTTCTTCAAGCAAGCAAAGACTTTGCTTAAAATAAGAAGTACTCTATCTAGTACGGGAAGATCTACCTTGAATTTCTGAGAGGTTTCCAAGAATATTATCTTCCCTAAAGTGAAGCTTCTAATAAAGCTTGATTTGACCCACTGGAAAATTAATTCTCTGCAAAATAATTCACATAGATTGTGAGCCAGTTCTCTGAAAATGCTGCTGCTTGCAGCCTGCATAATTCATTGGTTAGACTATGAAGAAACACATCATCCAGGAACCCCAAGAGAAAACTAGGCATCCTCAAAGGGCTTGTTCTTGCCTAAATTTATGCTCCTGGACTTGGGGACATCCCGGGAAAGTGGTATCCAGATATGCGAAATTCTTGTTGGTCCTGAAAACAATCCTCTGTCCGTAGAATACTGGAATTTTTCACCTCCCTTAAAACTCAGCTTAATCAACTTTATCACAGGTGTATGCATGTGTCCAAACTCATCATGTTAAACATGTTAAACATATGCAGTTTTTTGTATATCAATTATACCTCAATAAAACTGTTAAAAAAATCAATTCCTGTTGAAAATCGTTCCTATTTAAAGTCAACTCCACCATCCCAGCTTATTTTACATCATCCTCCACATTAACTGGCTCTGTGATGTTGAACACATCACTTTACCTCTCTGGGTCTTAATGCCCTCATTTGCAAAATCCTGAGAGGGTTGTTTTGGTGACCTTGAAATTGTTTCCCAAGTCTACTATTCAATCAATCTAAGTAAATGGCCTGGGGAATCAAGTGGTATGAAATATGATGCTCTTTCAATGGGAGAAGTTGTAATTGAAGGAATCCAAAAGGAAAAGAAGATTCCAGGAAGTGTAGTGATTAAAATGGTGGATTTAAAGAATAATAACACCTTCAAAAATACTATCTATACAGCATATATAATCACTTTAAAAGTCATTACATTGAATACTGATACCAAGTCCCTGTCTTAGGTGTCTTAGGACCTCATCAAAGCTCAAAATTGACACAACCTGGAGGCACCCCATAAGACTGTCTGTCATGGTGTGCCAGCTAGAGGGTGGTAGCCATGATTGGACTCTCCATTTTAAACATCTCCATTCTTTATTTTCCATTCAAACATCTCATCAACAATTCTTTGCATCTCTGCATCTCTACACTTGAAAGTAGCACAGATGTAATAGTCACCATATAGATGAATTTTTTCCAGTTCTAAACTGGTGTCTAGTCCTGGCTTCCTTGTTTCCCTTAGCCCCTCTGAGCCTCAGGTCTTGCACCTGTAATATGTAGATGGCAATATATCTATTCTTCTTAGGAGGTAGTGTGAAAGGCAAATCAGAGCATGCATTGAACAGTACTTGGTAAGCTTCATAAAACAGTATATAATTTAAGATATGACCAGTACTGTTATCAATAATAATATAATAACTTTTCTCCTTCTGGAATACTCAAAGGTGGCTTACCTTGGATAAATACAACATAAATTCCTCAAGAATGTATTAGAAAAATAGGCAACAGAGTTACATAAGCACTTCATAAAAGAGGATATCCAAATATCCAATACCTGGATGAACTCAGAGGTGCTCAACTTCCCTAGATATCAGAAAAATTCCAATTAAAACTACAAGGATATAGGCAACAACACTGAAAATGAACAAATGAGACAGTATCAAACTAAAAAACTGCACAGCAAAGAAAACAAAGTAAAAATGCAACTCAAAGAATGAGAGAAAACATGTTAAAACTATACTTCTGATAAGCAGTTATATATCCATAATATATAAGGGACTCAAACAACTGAATTAAAAAATGGGCCAAGGACCTGAACAGACATTCCTCAAAAGAAGACATACAAATGACCAGTGGGTACATGAAAAAATACTCAGCATCACTAATCATTACGTAAACACAAATTAAAATTTTCCACTATAAGATATTGCCTCACACTTGTTAAAATGGCTTTTATCAAAAAAGATGACAGATAACAAGTGTTAGGATATGGAGAAAAGGAAACTCTTGTACATTGTTGGTGAGATTATAAATTAGTAAGTCTTTATGGAAAATGGTATAGAGATTATTTTAAAAACTAAAAATAGAACTACCATATGATACAGTAATTCCGCTTCTGGGTAGATACCCATAGGAACTGAAATCTATATGTTGAAGAGATATCTGTATTTCCATGTTCATTGCAGCATTATTCACAAAAGCCAAAATATGGAAACAACCTAAGTGCTCTTCAACAGATGAATAAGAAAGTATGGTGTACAAAATGGAATATTATTCAGTCTTTTTTTTGTTTTTCCAAGATGATGGATGATGGAGTTTTGCTCCTATGCCCAGGCTGGAGTGAAGTGGTGCGATCTCGGCTCACTGCAGCCTCCCTCTCTCCCCACACACCTGCCTCCGTTCAAGTAATTCTCCTGCCTCAGCCTCCCAAGTAGCTGGAATTACAGGCATGCGCCACCATGCCCGGCTAATTTTTGTTTTTGTTTTTGTTTTTGTTTAGACAGAGTCTCACTCTGTCACCAGGCTGGAGTGCAGTGGCACAATCTCGGCTCACTGCAACCTCCACCTCCTGGGCTCTAGCAATTCTCCTGCTTCAGCCTCCTGAGCAGCTGGGACCACAGGTGCACTCCTCCACACCCAGCTAACTTTTTTTTGTATTTTAGTAGAGACGGGGTTTCACCATGTTGCCCAGGCTGGTTTCGAACTCCTGAGCTCAGGCAATCCGCCTGCCTTGGCCTCCCAAAGTGCTAGTATCACAGGTGTGGGCCACACGCCCGGCTTAATTTTTGTACTTTTAGTAGAGACGGGGTTTCGCCATGTTGGCCAGGTTGGTCTGGAACTCCTGACCTCGGGCGATCCACCCGCCTCGGCCTCCCAAAGTTATTCAGTCTTAAAAAGAGGGAAATCCTGTCATTTACAAGGACATGGATGAATCTGGAGGATATTATGCTAAGTAAAATGCACCAGGCACAGAAAGACAAATACCACATGAACTCACTCACATGTGGAACCTAACACAGTTAAACTCATGAAAGTAGAGAGTAGAAGGAGAGTTACAGGAGGCTGGGAGGGTAAAGAGGGAGGGAATGGAGGAGTTGTTGATCAAAGGGTACAAAGTTTCAGACTGACAAGCACAGGTTTTGAGATCTATTGTATAGCAGGGTAACTATAGTTAATAGTAATGTATTATGTATTTCAAAATAACTGAGTAAATTTCAAATGTCACACCATAAAAGAGATAGGTAAGAGAGGCAATGGATATTAATGAGCTTGATCTAATAACCATGCCACATTGTATGCATACATCAAAACATTGCAACGTACCCCATAAATGTGTACAATTATGATTTATCAATCAAAAATAATATTAATACATTTTTAAAAGAAAGCCACAAGGGGCTACTACTACCAGAATGACTAAAATTTAAAAGATAGAAAATGCTATGTGTTGGTGAAGATTTGGAGCAACTGGAACTGGTGGAAGTATAAATCAACACAATCTCTTTGGAAAATTGGCAGTATCTTCTACGGTTGAATATACTCAGACCCTATGACCTTGCAATTCTACTCCCAAGTATATACTCAACAGACGTAGTTCAATATAAAATGTATGCTAGAATATTTATAACAATTATTACCCATAATAGCCCAAAACTCAAAACAACCCAAATTCCCATTAATACCAGAACAGATAAATTATGGTACATTCATACAATGAGATGTTATACAGCAATGAGAATGATTAACCCACAACTACATGGAACAATGTGGGCAAATCTCATGAATGTAATTTGAGAGAAAGAAGCCAGACACAAAAGAATACACATTGCATTATTCTATTTCTATAAATAACAAAAACAGGCAAAACTTCATTATGTTGTTAGAAATCAGGATACCAGCTACCCCTGGGGGAGATGGGGTACCTACCCTTGCAGGAAGGAGACCTGAGGGAGGTTCCAGGGATGCTGGTGATGATCTGTGTTCCTCTTCCACCAGTGAGTTCAGTTCATGAAAATTCATCAACCCATAAACTTAGGATATATGCATGCGTATATATATATGTGTGTGTGTGTGTGTGTGTGTATGTATATTTTTATATAAAATACTTCAATAACAAGGTTTTTTTAAAATCACCTCCTCATGAAGTTTATATTCTAGCACAGCCAATGATATTGTACTTAATGGAAGCAGAGGGCTACCAATGAATTGGGTAAATGCATCATTTCTTAGTATGAATTTTCCAGGTCCCTAGGACATGCACATTAAGCATCCTACCACTGTTAAACGGTATTCTGGCTACACTGCTGTCCTTTCACACTCAGGCTTACATTACCACTGCCCTACAATTTAACAATCCCTGCACTTATATTTAAAGCAAGCATTCTTAATCTGAGGTTCTCAGACCTCTAAGGAGCCCTGGATAGAATTCAGTGCTCCATGAACCTAGATGGGGGAAGTTATGTCTTTATCTACATCACAAACTCTAACTGCAATTTAGAATTTTCTTCAGCTATGAATGTAGGCAACAAAACATAATAACACTAGAAGTACCTAAAACTTTATCCCCAATAGAAACACTGGAGATATTTTCATAGACATTTCTGCTGTTGGAGGTATCTTGAAATATCACTTATACTTATTTAGAACATTTGGTCATCGTTAGATTTTGTAGTTTCATGTGTTAATAAACAAACATCTATATTACTTAATCGTAATTTCATATTTTTAGTATTTTGATAACTATATTTCAATATAATTGGTTTCCTTTGTAATTCTCTGTGTTCTATTTTTGGATTTATTAAGATTCTTTTGAAAATTGACCTGACAGTTTTCCAGACTGCCCAAAGGGGGTTCAAGGGGGTTGATGGAACAACAAAATAGATGTTTATATGCTATTTTCTATTTGCCCTCACCACTGCTGACCCTGCATCCCTGCCCCTCGGGCCATGCACACACTATGCTTCCCTGCCTTGCTCTGTGCCCCAGGAGTGTGACCCTGATGGAATCATCACCTGAGCTTCCATGACCCTTGTTCCAGCTTCTGGTTGGGAGTGGCCCTGGGGAGAATGGCAGTGGGATGAATTTCCCCACTTATCCCTACCTCACTGGGCTTCCAGTAGACAGCTGCATTTCTACAGCTCTCTTTCTCAGTGACGTCTCTCTCCAGGCATCCATAGCTCTGTTCCTGTGCCTTGCCATTCTTGCTGTCACTAGTCCCTGGGTATTTTACCTCCTGTTGGTTCTTAAACTCACCCACACTGCTGGAAATTGTCCCTTCATTAAATTCTTCCCAGTTAAGTCTTCGAAGAACAACATCTGGTCTTGACAACCTGATTCCAATTACAAACACTGGGATCACCTGATTTGTGAACTAAACCAGCAAGGATATGGTCACATTCTCTTTTGGGGCAGGGTGCAAGAGTGAGTGTGTGTGTGTGTGTGTGTGTGTGTGTGTGTGCGCGCCGCGCATGCACGCATGCGCGCATGTGTGTGTACACTCACGTGTATTTGTGTTGGGATTGGGCAGAAGATATCAGAGTCAGTGCCCAGGGACCTGTGAACAATAACTTTCTCCAGCCTTCAACTACCTGAAAAACTCTAAGATTTTGGGCCAGGCGCAGTGGCTCATGCCTGTAATCCCAACACTTTGGGAGGCTGAGGCGGGCAGATCACGAGGTCAGGAGATCAAGACCATCCTGGCTAACACGGTGAAACCCCCTCTCTACTAAAAATACAAAAAATTAGCCGGGCGTGGTGGCGGGCGCCTGTAGTCCCAGCTACTCGGGAGGCTGAGGCAGGAGAATGGCGCGAACCCGGGAGGCCAAGCTTGCAGTGAGCTGAGATCGCGCCACTGCACTCCAGCCTGGGTGACAGAGCAAGACTCCGTCTCTAAGATTTTTAACTCACAGTCTAAGAAGGAAAGCTGAGCTGTTGAGAAAAGGTCATCCCTGAGCTGCATGTGTAAATAGCCACCAGGAAGTAGCTAGGCGAAGTATGGAGTAAGGAGGAGACAAGATTCTTAAGAGAGGGAGCAGCATTTTCCCAGGCTCAAACATAGGAGAGCTGCTGCCCAAGGTCTTCCTGCACCTGTCACATGTTAACATCACCTGGAACAAGCCCAGGCAGCAGAAGGAAGCATAAAGGAGGCTGTTCTTTGAGAATGTAAAAGATGAGAGACGGTCTGCTTGAAGGAGATCCACCGCTGGAGAGAAGCACAGTCTAACAGTCCCTGCACATGCCAGATACGCTCCTAGGTATCTCTGATTTCCTAAGGCTTAACTGACAGGAAAAAAGAAACTAGATAAAGTCCTGCTTGCAAAGAATATCATTTCTCCTAAGATATTTCTAGGCATTTGCCCTCCCCTCTAATTCCCCAGGACAACGCTGGCTGACAGCCCTCTGATATGGAAGAATGAACGGTGGAAACTGGGCAGGCAGGGAAGGAAGAAAGGAAGGAAGCCTGCCAGAAGCACACTTCCATATATCAGTGTGAGCTCAAGATAAATAATCCCAGCCAGCCCATGCAGCTATCAAACCAAAGGGCATGTTGCAGGTAGCAAGATAAATCGCTATTGTCAGGGATGTCTTTGTTTGTTCCCGACAACCTCTTACTATATCTCCCTCTCCTGACAAACCAACCCCAGGAATAGGTTTCTAACATGCATTGGCCTCTGGAAATGATAGTGCTTTTAGGGAGAGAAAAAATGAGCTTGAGCTCCTGGGTCCAGTAGCCAATATACAATTGGCTGGGGGGACTACTCACTAAACACTGGTTAGAAGCAAAATCTATTGTAAACAATAGCTACAAGCTGTTTTCACCAAAGGTCATTCTATCAATCCAGCCTAGCAAATCTGAATTACCGATGCTCCATCAACTGGCTCATATCATGAATCTTATCCACATTGGCCTTTCATGGAATTCCTCCTGACTCCACCATAGGGATCATATTCACTGACGCCAGAAAAGCTCCACATAGAAAAGATTATACGAAAAATAAGTGGTCAGTTTTTAAATCTAAACATAAATTGTTTTAAAATATTTCCAGAAATTTCAGAAATAGACAAACTATTTGGGGTAATAATTACAACTATATTTATTAAAACTTTCCAGGTATGTACATCAAGATTTCATCTAGGTAATTTGGGGAAGGGAGTCTCAAATTATCTCTGCACCAGACTCTCTCTTGTATACCACCATTTCAAGGTTTACTTGGGGTTTCTGATTGTGTCTGAAGCAATAGAAAGCAAAAGTAACTCCAGACTTCATAATGGGCAGCTTTGGGAACACAGGACCAGGCTTTAGCAGTGATCACCCTCCAGGCATGAACAAAAAGCTGGCTGAATTCCTATAACACTAAGCAAAATTTACCCTGTTTATATACCCAGTTTCCCACTCTCCCTCTCTCTCTCTCTCTCTACTTATTTTTCCTTTTCACACACAATAGTAAAGGTCAGAAAAAGTTTAAAAGAAACTTTTTCTCTTTATTTAAATGCAACAGGGACTTAAGTTACTGTATTATCACAAAGCAAGATACCTATCTGCTTTTGGTAGAAGCTTCCTTGCCTTTGTATAAAGACAGCCCCTAGGATTCCAGGTGTACCTGTGACTTTCCTATCTTGAAAGCCCAAGTCCCTCAACCTCTCTTTTGCTCATCAATAAGAGTTAGTATGGTGAAGGGATTAAGAAAATGCAACTGGTCTGTCTGGCTTTCCATCCTGGCCCTATCTACAACTTACCATGGGACCTTGGGCAAGTTATTTAATTTCTTTGTGCCTCAGTTTCCCATCTGTAAAATGGAAATAATAAATAGTTTTGTTATGAGAATGAACATATAAAGCACATGGAATAGTGTCCACTACATAGTAAGTGCTAGTATTTGTTAAATAAACAAACACATAACAAACAGATCAAGCCACCTCTTACTCATGTCCAGCTCTATTCTCATGTTGCCAGTAGCTCTTATTCTGGAGTGTCTCCCTATGCTTGGTTGTGCCCATCGTGGCCACCTTCTGTACTCCCTTGTGATGAGGATTCTAGAGAATACTGTACTGTTGGATTCAGATCCTCACACACCTGTTTACTTCATAACTAATGCATACTCATCCATCAAGTCCCCTCTTACATGTCTCTTCCTCCTGGAGTCTTCTTTGAGCAATCAAGTCTCCCTCTTACATGCTCCCACAGCACAGTGTTTTTCCTCTCCTCGTTCATTAATTTGTCCATTCAACAGAAAATCGTAGAAAGCACTGTGCTAGGTTTTTAGAGTTTATATTTTAGAGAGAAACACATAGGAGGCCTTGATAACTTTTTGATGAATGGATGTATATGAATGACTCACCCATATATCTGATCCTTAGCATTTCCTCCCCACTGGAACAGATAAGAAACTGTGCATATTACTAAATAATTCTCACTTTAGCCTACAGCAAGAGGATGTGAGGGGGTTACCCCCATCCCACTCTGGCCCCAATTGACATGGAGTTCCTTCTGAGCTGCTGCACTTTCTTTGCAGCAGCCAAGCATGCAGCACACAGCACCAGCACAGTGCCTACAAGCCTCAACTGCTGCTAGACCTGTTCAGTGGTCTGCAGTGTCCATTCAAGTGGACTGTCAGACAAAGACAATGGGGATGACAGTGAAGGGAGCCATACCCCAGAGAAGGGAAAGGCAAAGACAAAACTAAAATGAGGCCAAAGATCAAGCAAAAGTTAGTTTTAAAAATAAAGTGAGTTTTTCATTTCATAAAGAAAAATTACGCCATTGACTCTTTTGCTCCAATCAACTGCATAATTTGGCAAATTTTCATTCACTAATTGAGACACATACATAGACACCATGGTGCTCTAGGTCTTTCTTATAGATTGTATAGCCACCAGTTCTCAATTTATCTTCCTTTGAATATGATCATTTTTCAAGTGACTCAGCATAAGCCTTAAAGAGTATTCAATAAAGCCATCATTCAGTTCCTTAATGAGATACAGAACACAGGACATTGAATTCATAGATTTGGAAAATTGCAAGACAGAAAATTTTAAATGTGAAAGAAAAACTCCTTTTTAAGCATTAAAAAATCTTTGTAAAGCAAGGAAGCTGAAAGCAGAGCCTGAAGGCCTCAGGCAAAGTCATTTGGCTTACCATTGTGTTCAGCCAGAATTCAGGGACAGCAGGGTAATCAGCAGAGATAAACAAAAGCAGGTCAGGGGAGAGTGACAGGGTGGGAATTGGGAGAAAGCATTGGGTTTTTAAGTCAGAAAGCTTGGATTTCATTAATAGTCTTGATTTTCCTTTTATTAGCTAAGTGATTTTGAGAATCATTTATCCTCTCCAGCCTGTTTCCACAAGTATCACATGGAAATAATATTAGTTTCTGCCCAAGCTATCTCTTAAATTTGGCACTAGGATCAAATTAGTCATGGGGTATGTAAACTCTCAGCAGAGGGCCTGATATACAGTGAAACTCAATAAAATGTTTTGGGTATATTTTTAAGCTAGAACAAAATAAATCACTGACCCAAGTGATCAGCTTGTGTGTTTCTAATTTGGACTATGATGAAATATACCAGTTCTAAGACTTTACCATCACTTTTTAAATCAGTAACAATGATGGCAGCTAACACTTATTAAGCATTTATAAAGGAGATCCCAGAAACTATGCTAAGTGCTTTACATATATGCATATATTCCTTACATTATTCCTGAGGCAGGTCTATTATTATAGATGAGGAAATGAGAGTGCAAGGGAGTTCGGCCACATTCCCAAAGTCTTATAGCTAATAAGCAATGGAAACATTTCTTGTAATTATTATTTAAAAAGCAAAGTGGAAAATTTGATCAGGAGGGGAAAGATATGAAAAAATATTCAAATTAATTTGAGGGCATATATCCTTTATACTCTCATCACATCTCCAAAAGAGATGAAGCATGCCCCTCCCAGGGCTGTTAATTTTCCTACCATCCCTGCTACTTTAAGGCTTCTCCCACTGTTGCAGGGCCCTGAATTCCAGGCACCAGCCTTGACGATGCTTGCAGAGCCTGCCGGTGTCCTGAAAAAGGTACTCGGTTCAGTCTTACCCTTTACATCATAAAGAGATTTCTCAAATACAGTATACGTTATTGATAGATAATATTTATACATATTTATGGGGTACATGTGATATTTTGATACATGCACAGAATGTGTAATGATCAAGTTGGAGTATTTAGGATATCCATCACCTTGAACATTTATCATTTCTTTGTGTTGGGATCATTTTCAATCTTCTAGCTACCTTGAAATATACAATATATACAATATATTAAGTACTATGCTATTGAACACTAGAACTTATTCCTTCTATCTAACTGTATGTTTATACTCATTAACCAACCTCACTTCAACACCCCCACATACATAAATGCCCTTTCCAGCCTCTGGTAACTATCATTATATTCTCTACCTCCATGAGATCAATGTTTTTAGCTCCCACGTAGGAAAGCATGTGATATTTGTCTTTCTGTGCCTGACTTATTTCACTTAATATAATGACCTCTAGTTCCATCCATGTTGCTGCAAAGACAGGATTTCATTCTTTTCTATGGCTGAATTGTATGTAAGTACCACATTTTCTTTATCCATTCATCTGTTCATGGACACTTAGGTTGACTCCCCATATTTGTGAATAGTGCTGCAATAAACATGGGGGTGCAGGTATCCCTTTGATATGCTGATTTCCTTTCCTCTGGATAAATACCCAGTAGTGGGATTGCTGGAGCATATGGTGATCCTATTTTTAGTTTTTTGAGAAATCTCCATACTCTAAAAACAATATTTTTATCAAGAAGACGATACACCTGTGATTCTGGCTGACAGATTTTTTTATTTTTTCATTTTCAGAGAGTGAATGAGTGCTCTGATACTATGCATATGTCATACATTCTAGAACTAACCTGCATGCCTCCCAATGCTGGTTCCTCTGCTTCTGAGCTATGTGACATGTTGATGGGCAGGCCACTTCCTCTCTTGAGGCTTCACTATCCTCACTGCATTATGGGTGCAATACAATACCCACCTCATTAGGTTGTTGCAAGACTTTAAATAAATAAATAGGGTGTAGAAGAACAGAGTGACCATGGTAAACTGATCAGTAAATATTAGCTATTGTTATTATTCATAGAAACCCAAGGGACTTAATATAAAGGTGCTGGAGAAAGAGTACTGAATGTAGAGACAAAGACCTGGGACCCAGGCCTAACTCTGCCACTTACAAGCTTTATGACTTTAGAAACATTATAAATAAGAGGCCATGTTGACCCACAGACATGTTTTAATAGGCCAGCTCAGGGTTTTTCACATTTTTAGATCTAAGCACTTTCAGACCAGGCAGTTTCTTTCCGATTATCTCCCACTCCCTATTGTCTCATAACTGATGGGGTTTGAGTTTGCAACACTGATCACCCTCCACGGGTTTCATCCCCGACCACGAAAACAGGAAGAACACCTGCTCTTCTACTTAGCAAAATTGTCATTTGGCTAAAATGAGATTATGTATGTAAAAGTACTTCATCATCATAAAGCACTACACAAATGGGGCTGCTTATTTAAAATACAGGACATTTTAAGCCTTACATATGTACATTGCAGAAAATAGTCTTGAAGGTACGTGAAAGCTGGTGGGTGCTGCAGTTGTTTTTAAACAGTTCTTAGTGCCAATTTTGTTCAAGCAATATATCCATCCCAATAAACCTTTCAGGGAGGAGCCCAGGGAACATGTCTTAATCATTCACAATTAGGGAATTAATTCATCTAGATGCCTCAGGGTGGGAAAATCCTATCTATCGCTTAGAAAAATATCCTCTGAGACCAATATCCCCAGTGAATTTCAAAGGCATTGAGACCTCTTTACTCACCCCTAGGTTCACCAGAAGCTTTCTCACTCTTTGTTTGACTTTATCCTAGTGTTTTCTTCTCTCAAGTTCATGGATAACATTTTGGGACCTGAAGAGACCATCTAAATACTAAAAAAATCATTTTGTCTCTGATTACAGATTCCATTTCTCCCTGAAATGAGCACCATGTCAAAAGATCAGTTACACTAATTATTTGTTGACCTTTAATATTTTTATAGTATTAAAAGCCTATGGGTCTAAAATGTAATACAGATGTCTCACTGAGTTTCCTAACAACTACACAACAGTGTCACATAAACTTGGTGTTGCCATGGAAAAAACAACAAACTCTCAATCTGGGTTTCAGTCTATCATTAACAACCTCGGGCTGGGCAGCTATAACAAGAATACCGTAGACTGGGTGGTTTAAGAGACAAACATTTATTTCTCACAGTTCTGGAGGCTGGGAGGTCTAAAGGTAATGACAGATTCTATATTAGGTGAGGGCCCTCTCCCTGGTTTGCAGAGAGCTGCCTCTTGCCATACCCTTGTTCTGGCTGCTTCCTGTTCTCATAAGGGCACTGATCCCCATCATTGGGATTTTACCTCACAATCTCCTCTAAACCTAATTACCTCCCAAAGGCCAATTTCCAAATATCATCACAGTAGAGATTAGGGCTTTCAATATGAATTTTGGGGGAACTCACACATTTGGTCCATAGCAGACAAGTTGCTTCCCGGGGGAGACTGTTTCTCAACTGCAAATAATAATGATTATAACAACAGCTGTCATTTAGCATCCCTATGATGTGTCAGGCGCTATCTATTAATAGGTACCTTTACCTATATTTTTTCATTAAACCCTCACCCTGAACTGTGCAAGGTAAGTATTAATATCCCCACTTTGGAGGTGAAGAAACAAGCTTTATGACTTTAAGTAACATGCTCAGGGAAACACAGTAGGACCAAAATTCATGGTGTGATACTGTCATGAGGAAGATGCTATCTGATCTGCCTGCCTTCCTAAACTGTTGTGAAGCTAAAATGAGACTGTGTTTGTAAAAACATTTTACTAAAATGGAAAAGCACCATAAATTTGAAATGTACATCCATTTGGAAGTGACAGGTAATGAGCACAACATTTCAGTGCTACAGTTAATTCAGTCAGCCCAAATCAAATACCTAGACTCCAACAAAGGAAAAGCCCTAGATTTTCAGATTATTACAATGAGTCTATTTCTGCAATGTTAATGAAGCAGCTCTCCATCTTCAGCAAAATTTCCACTTTTATCACACTTCAATGGGGTAAGCAATAGAAATCCAAGAAGGATATGGAATCCCAAAAGATCCAAAATAGCCAAAGCAACTTTGAGCAAATAACAAAGCTGCCAGCATCACACTTTTTGACAATTCCTTACAAAGCTATAGTAATCAAAACAATATAGTTCTGGCATAAAAAACACACATATAGACCAATGCAATAGAATAGAGAACCCAGAAATAAACAGATGCATTTACAGTCAACTGATCTTCAACATGCATTCCAAGGACACAAAACAGGGAAATTATTGTTTCTTCCAAAAAAAAATGAAATTGAACCCCTTCTCACACCACACACAAAAACCAACTCAAAATGAATTAAAGACTTAACCATAAAACTTGAAACTATAAGCTGAAAAATTAGAGAAAAACCTTCTTGATGTTGGTCTTAGTGTCTTAGCAATAGTATTTTGAATATGCACAAAAGCACAGGCAACAAAAGCAAAAATAGACAAATGGGGAAAGCTTCAGCACTGCAAGTGAAACAATTAGCAAAATGAAAATGCAACCCATAGGATGGGAAAAATATTTGCAAACCACATATCTGATAAAATATTAATATTCAATACATACAAGTAACTCATACAACTCAGTATCAAAAATACAAAAACCCAATTTAAAAATGGGCAAAAGACCTAAATAGACACTTCTCTAAAAAAAAGGAAAAAATTCAGATGTTCCACAGGCATACAAAAAAGTGCTCAATGTCTCTAACCATCAGCGAAATGCAAATCAAAGCCACAAGTTATCACCTCACACCTATCAGGATGTCTATTATCAAAAAGACAAAGAAAACAAGTGTTGGTAAAGATGTGGAGAAAAATAAACCTTTGTACACTGTTGGTGGGAATGTAAATTAGTACAGCCATTGTGAAAAACAGTATGAAGGTTCCTCAAAAACTCAAACATAGACTACCATATGATTCAGCAATCTCACTCCTGGGTATATATCCAAAGGAAATGAAATCGCTGTGTCAAAGAGATATCTGCACTCCCATGCTCACTGCAGCAGTATTCACAACAGCCAAGATACAGAAATAATCTAAATGTCTTTTGATGGATGAATGGATAAAGAAAATGTAGTATACATACATTTGTATGTTTATTTAATTATACAGTGGAATATCATTCAGCCTTAAAAAAGAAGAAAACCTGGCCATTTGTGACAACATGAATGGAGCTGGAGGATTCATGCTAAGTGAAATAAAAAAGGCACAGAAAGAGAAGAGAAGAAAGAGGGGCTAGGGGACAAGGGGAAATGGCATGATGTTGGTCAAAGAGTACAAAGGTTGAGTCAGACAGAAGGAATAAGTTCTGGAGGTCTAATATACAACACAGGGACAATAGTTAAAAATACTGTAGTGCATACTTGAAATTTGCTAAAAGGAGAGATCTTAAATTTTCTTGACACACACCCACACAAATGGTAACTAGATGGTAACTAGATGTGATAGAAATGTTAATTAGCTAGAGTGTGGTGATCATTTTACAATGTATATGTATATGAAAACATCAAGTTGTACACCATATATATAAATGATATATATGATATATATCATGATATAGCAAAATGATATGTATACATATATATCATATATAAATGTACACATATGTATATGTATACATATATATCATATATAAATGTACACATATGTATATGTATACATATATATCATATATAAATGTACACATATGTATATGTATACATATATATCATATATAAATGTACACATATGTATATGTATACATATATATCATATATAAATGTACACATATGTATATGTATACATATATATCATATATAAATGTACACATATGTATATGTATACATATATATCATATATAAATGTACACATATGTATATGTATACATATATATCATATATAAATGTACACATATGTATATGTATACATATATATCATATATAAATGTACACATATGTATATGTATACATATATATCATATATAAATGTACACATATGTATATGTATACATATATATCATATATAAATGTACACATATGTATATGTATACATTTACATATATGCCACTCTGGTCTCCACTGTTTGTGCATTTCATAGCTTATCCCTTCATTCAACACTGTTCTAAAAACAAGAAAAGAAATCCTTGTCCTTATGGAGCTTACATTCTAGTTGGAGAGAGTAAATTAAAAAAAAAAAGTAAAAAAAATCATTTACATATCATTTATATATTATATATATCATTTATATATGATATATATGAAAAACTGATATATATATCATTTTATGTGTCCATGATAGCTCAATAAAGGTGTTAAAAATAAAAATAAATAATAAATAAACCCAAAAATGATAAGGAAGGTAGATTCTATGGCTACCCAGAAAGAAGGTGGTAGGTACGTAGTAGAGTTCTTCAGCATAGGAACAGGAGCAGCACTGACTGTATCACAAAATTAACCCTGCCACCAACACTCTCCTCTACATACATATATGGATGTTGGGTGTTTGGAGTATTTTTTACTTATTGTTTTTTTAACTTGCTCTCTCAACTAGAATGTAAGCTCCATAAGGACAAGGATTTCTTTTCCTGTTTTTAGAACAGTGTTGAATGGAGGGATAAGCCATGAAATGCGCAAGCAGTGGAGACCAGAGTGGCAGAAAGACCAGGAGGAAAGTCCAGAGCACAGATATCACAGTGAGATCCACAGCCAATACCAGGAGATTTAGAGTGATGCAAAGAAAAGGAGTGAAACTGAAATGCAGTGTCTAGGCCTCAGTGATGAACCAGTCCTAGCTGAAGCCAGGGTGGAGCCATGGAAGTGGAAGTGGGTTGCACTTCTCACAATCCACAGATGTTTGTACTGCTGTACCAGAGTACTATGTGAAACACCTTACTGAGAAGACAAGTCAGTGTAGTGCATTAAAATGGACACCATATGCTCAAAGATAGCTTCTACTGAGACATGGCTTAGAAATTAGAGAATATGAATTTGGACACACTACAGAGATGGCCCCTGGAGGTTGAGTTTTTCCATCTGTGAGTCTGTGAATAATCACTGAACCATAACGGCAGGTTCACATCAAGAACGAAACAGCCTTGGAAACAATGGCACAAACCTCTCCTCTATGACCCAGAGCCATGACACTTTTCCAAGCTCTTGTAGGGTGACCGGAGTCATCAGCATAAGAGGTCTACCAGAAAGGTCCCCTCATTCAATCTGACCTTTCCACACACCAGACCAAGAAACTCTCTCATCCTCTTCTCCAAACTTCTATCATGTCATCCTCCCTCCCAGTCCCTCTGAATAAGAGATACTGCAGAGGAAATGAGTAACAAAATGAACAGAGCACTTCATCAAGATCAAGCACATGGCTCAGTCCTACAAGGTGTCCTATACCTTGTGACAGGACACAAACAAAAAGCAAATGAAAATGACCTTTGGCTTATTACACTTGCAATGCAGCACAAAGCACTGCTCTTTGAGCTTTCTTGCTCTGTCTAGAAAGATAACTTTCCGTATTTTTTTTTGCCATCCAGGGCATCTGCCATGAAAATACTACAAAATATAGTTTGTCACTGGCTTTATAAAAACTCTGGGATAGGAACAATTAAAGCTATCTATGCTGCTGGGGACATTCCATTTTACATCAACAAATGTTACATCATCTGTAACCATTCCAATTTCCACTTAAGAACGTCTAATTATTCATATTGCTAGGGGGTGAATTCTGGCTTGCTTGCTGATGGTTCCATTACCTCTTCCCCATCCACCTTCACAGAAAAAGACAGAACGTAGGCTTTTGCAGAGGTGAGGGTGGGGGATGGTGGTAGGGGGGCGGGGGTGGGTAGATAACCATATACAAACTGCAAGGTCAGCTTCCCAGTATTGCAAAACTGGGTGCTATTTTCCATAGTTCCAAATGGCTTCTTCAAAACCACAGAAAATAAACCTATTTCATTTTTACACACATCACTGTTTCCCTGCAGGTTGTAGAAATGTATTTTCAGTTGGTCAGCAATTTTTCCAAGTGACTGCAAAGTTTTCCTTATTGTCCTACCACCAGGGCACCTCAGACTTAGACAGGGGGAAGGAGGAAGAAATGCTGGAGAGTGTGGAAAGTGACAGGAAAGTAAGGAGATGAAGCCTAGTCTGCGGATCCCATAGGTGGCCACTGAAGTCAGGGGGGGTGCACCTGCCATGCGCCCAAAGGTTACAGAGAGGCAGCTACATTGGCTGAAGAATCAGACAGATCATAGAACTCACTTCCCAGGCTCCTGATGGCACTGGGCATAAATTAACATCTCATTCCCTGCAATCACTGTAGTGGCTGGAAGACATGATTGATCTAACATTTGGCCTCCCTAGGAAGGATGTGTTAATTCTTTCTTCCAGCACTTTCCACTTCTTCATGAGCTCAGCTTTTCATCACCAAACAAATACCTGGGATGGAGAGCTGGGACCATCAGGCAGCAGGCAACCTGCAGGGGTGGTTTCTCCACCTTCTGTCCGTACAGCAACACTTAACTGAAAAGGCAAGGTTAGTGATCTGGTAGGCAGTGAACTCAACAGCATCAGGAACCCCAGCAGGTCCAGTTTCAAATTATTAACCTTCCTCACCCTTGAGGAATTTGTTAGTATTTTTCTATGCAAAATAGTACATGCCTGAGCAAAGTGTCCTTACTTTGCAGGCAGGGCTAAACTTAAATTATTTTGGCTTATTCCCCTTGAAGTCACTAATTAGCATTTGGTTTGTTTCTTTTCATAACATCATTCTTTAATCAACAAACATTTCCAAGAGCTTTTCTGTTATCAGATCTGATTTGCTGGCTTGTCCAAGAGTGATTCCACTAAGGTGTCTGATAGAGAAGGGAGGGGGCTTCCTGCAGGGCAGAGAAGGCTTTTCTAGGAGCCCACCACAGAGGGTACCTTTTCACACTTTGCACAAGGACTTTATGTGGATGAGCTGCAGCCTGAGTAATACCATCATGTCACTGCAGTAAAGCCTACACCATGGTTTCTCAGAGGTTACAGGAAGGCTTTGTAGTCGGTGCAAAGTAAACCCTCAATACATTTTAGCTAGCAATTGAGAGAGTACTGTATGTGTGAAATGCAAACTGGTTTCCTTTTTTGGAAGAGAGGAGGAGAGGAAGTAATTGAAGTAATTCTTGCTGTGTTTTTGGCTTATCAAAAAAGGTGGATCACTTTGTGAGAGACTGAAGGAGTTAGAAGCAAAAGTGATGTTTTTCCCTCATCTAATGAGGACTGAGACTTGGGGAGAAAATGACATGAGAGGTACTGAAGAAATTGTTTTTGTAAACTGAGGTTTACAATACTAAATGCATATTCTATGGGGTTAGCTAGAATATGCTCTTCCACGTAGCAAATATAAAAATCAAGTCCCTGCTATGTTCCAGGCACTGAAGGAATGCATTTCATAAAGACTGTGAAGAATAGGCTTGCCTGGAGCCACCACTTAAGACAGTCATGTCCAAAACAAGCAGGCAGAGCAATGGTGTCTGGGAAAGAGTGAATTAGATTAAGAAACTGGAGGTAGGAGCACTCAGAGGGTGGAGACAAGGAGCAGTGACAACTGTGTTCAACAGTGTGAAGAGCTGTTCTAAGAGATTCGATTAGTTTTGTATGGCCCTTAAGGATAGGACCCATGGGTGAAAGTGTTGAGGAGGGAGAGTTTGAGTCTGAATGGAAATAAGAACCTTCAAACTACTATTAACTGAAGCTTTGAGTGCTAATGACTTTTTCATCACAGGAGGTGACCAAGCAAGAGTTGAACAGATACTTGTCCTGGATGTTAAAGTGGAAATTCAAGCAACACAACAGAAGGTGAATAAATTTAAGGTCCTTTATGATCTTTATATTCCATGAGATTCTGAAAGAAGGAATCCTTGTGCTTCTCATGTCAGTTCTAGGGACAACTCTTTCTCCGTCTTCTATAAAACTCATTTAATTTTAATAATGTATGTGTTATTAATCATATAATTTGTTTTATCTCCTAACATTTTTGCTGTTATTTATATTTTATGACCTAACATTTATGCTATGCCCTAACATTTTTGAAGTGTTTGATTCACTTCTGTTTATCTTATTTTATAAATAAGAAATTTGAGAACATTTGAGTTAAACAACAATCAAGGCAGGGTTTATACTATACTAATAATGCTTTGTTTCTCAAGCTTTATGGTAAGTATAGATGACTATTCTGTCTATCTGTCTCTGTATCTGTCTAATTGGAAGGCTTCAACTGAATTAAAAAGAAAGAAAAACGGCTAACATTAGAATGCCTAGACTCTGACTTTCTACTTTAGAGCACATAACTTATACGGTATCCATATGTAAGATTAATAATATATAACCTAAGTTAAAGAATTTTTCACTTGACTTCTAGATATTTGACTTCATTAAAAATGTCATAATTCCTACTCAAATTGGCATCAGACTCATCAACATTTTTCAGTGCCCCTCTCTTGGCTTAGTGACTATGCCTACTTCCCCCTTCTCTTCCCCAAACCACCCAGGGTATCACTAAATGAAAGCAAACAACTGTCCAATCTCAAATACAATCGAACATACCATCCTTCTCAAGTTGCCCTCTTTTTGTCTTTCTCTCCCTTTCACCATGATTCACCTAAACCCCTTCAATGAATGCATACACCCACCCCACCGCCCCCACACACACCCCTCTGGAAAATTCATTGCCTGATTCCTAGAGGCTCTGAGCACCGGCAAATTGCACAGCATCAGAAAATCCATACACACACACACACACACACACACCAGTAGGCTGTGAAAAAGAATTTCCCCTGGAATTTGAAGAGATGACCACCCAGAATCAGAATAACACTTATTTGAGACATTTAAAACACACCAGACAAAGCACTAGAGATTATAATGTACAGATCAATTCTCCCCTAGCAAAGAAATGGACTATGTGATTTAATGTACCTTTCCCATTGTTAATTTCTATGATCTTGAGACTAATTTGAATGCAGATGGAATCCATTTGAATAATGGCTCAAGAAAAGAACTTGGTTGCTAATTCAATAGGTGCCAGGGTGTGAAAAATTATTGTCATGATTATAGTAACTGAAACTGAGCTTGTAAAAATATTTTTGCAGAATATTAATCAGTTCTGTAGTGACTAAGGCCACACACACTTACATACAACACAGCAGGCTTTTATCATGAATTAATATTTTTCTTAAGCTAATTGTGCCAAGATACTGTTGGATTAGGATTGTCTTTGTACATCTCACTGTGATTTGTCATGGTTGTGTAAGAGATATGAGATAAATAAGAATATTTAAATATATAAATAAGAATATCAGTTAGGATTGAAAGGTCACTGAGAGCTAGAACAAATACTGAAAACTATAATATTGAAGAACATGGCAGGGATGGGGGTGTGATAGGGAGACATCCTCCATATTTGCATTTTGGATTTCTTGTGCCTTCAAAGACACAGGTTTGCTTTTTTCAATAGTATCTGTACATCAAAGGTTCATCTTGCCCTTGTCTATCAGCTAAATTCCCTGACAGCTTGGGTAAAATGCTGTACCCCTATAGCATATGCCTCAATATTTGCACTTGCACTTACATTACGGTATATGTTACCTTAGTGATAAAATGACAAATGATAAATACTTGCATATTCAATGGATAGAAATACTAAAAATGCAACACATCACAGTGATTTTATATTTTGTTGGTTCATTTGTTTTTTTTGGATAAAGAAAAAGTCAGAAAAGAATAAAGATGGACAAGAATGGTTCATCTCCTACTTTCCAAAAACCAATTTTAAAATGTAGTAATAACATCCACACTTCATTGGGCATCTACTACATACTGTGTAGTTTATAAGCATTGTCTTAGATCCTCATAAAAACATGTATGCAGGCATTGTTATCTTCATTTTAGAGATGCAGAAACTGAGAATTAAAGAGGTTTATTACCTTGCCCAAAGAAGTCAGTGACATAGTAAACATACCATTTGTTTCATTTTTAATTTGGACACAATTTTCCTCTCAAATTATATTGCAATGCCAAGCTTAACTGGACAGACCTTAGAGAAAGAGTATCACTTTTTTTTTTTTTTTTTTTTTTGAGACAGGGTCTCACTCTGTTACCTGGGCTGGAGTGCAGTGGTGCAGTCTTGGCTCACTGCAACCTCCACCTCCTGAGCTGAAGAGATCCTCCTACTTCAGCCCTCTCAGTAGCTGGGACCACAGGTGCACACCACTACACCCAACTAATTTTTGAATTTTTTTGTAGAGATGGGGTTTCAGCATGTTGCCCAGGCTGGTCTTGAACTCCTGGGCTCAAGCAATCCACCCACCTCAGCCTCCCAAAGTGCTGAGATTACAGGTGTGAGCCACCATGACTGACCGAGAATCATCATTTTGATCTTGCAGAACAGAAGACTGATAATGGTCTAATGTAAGTCTTCCAGAGACTAACTAGATTTTAACATATACGCTTATGGACTTAACTCAAAGGTGCAGGTAAGTACTGTAGGAGTTGCAGACAAAACAAAAGGCACATTAGGTGAGCAGGGGGGTTGCAGGGACATATCTGGGATTCTTGGTTTCTCATCCTAGAGAAGTTGTGAGAATTCGGTACTGTGTTTCCTTTCTTAGGCCTCACAGCTGGCAGCCCAGACTCTTCCTCACATAGAGTTTCTGTGTGAAAAACATCCCATTGGGTGAATTCTCTCTAATTACTTATGACATATTGAGATCTGCAGCTTACTTCTTACTGGTGTTACCTACTTATACAATGACTATATGAGACTGAAGTGCAAGGACAGTCAGGATTTGGTCTCACAGAGATCTGTTTTGAGACACAATCCTCAGAAATATTTTTTGTCTAAAGCAGATGCCACATGTACCAGGAAATAGTAATCAATTAATTGTTTCTCAAGTACCTAAGACACATAAGACCCTGAGGAGAATACAGAGAAGCAGCAGGCCTGGTGTCTTCCCTTGAGAGCTTAAAATACAGTTGAGGATTTTAAAAGACAAATAATAAGAGAGTAGGTGGCAGGTGATGGCTCTGGCCTGGTGCTAGGTCTCTGTAGGGCAGCCTGGATCTAGGCCAGGAATAAACCTACTATGAGGCAGAAGGGGTTACAGAAGCTGCCTCTGAAATAAGACCAAGTCTGTAAAGTACTAAACAGTCCCTGGCACACAGCAGGTACCAAATGAAAACTGTTCCTCTCTTCCCTCTTTGCCCTAATCACTTTAGGGAATAACATCAAGCTCTCCCTGTAGCTAACTCAGCTTCAACTTTCCTCCCCAGGCCTGATAAGATGACTTTTCTTTCTTCTTGAGTGCCAGTCCCCACTTGATAGCCCAGTTCTGGAACTCTGTCCTGTTCCCCATCTTGGTAACCTTCCCACATCCTGTTACCTTAACAACTGAATGCTTCATGTCTTGCTTTTGCTTGTCACTCTCCAAAGGACTAGCATTTCAGGCTCGTTAGTGGCTAAGAGCCTGCTCCAACAATGCCTATGAACTGTCCAACTGCTGTGTTCCAGATATTGCCTGCTCTGCAATTTCTTATCACCTAGATCTGTCTGCTATTTAAGTTGCCCAATTAGACCACAAGGATCAATTCATTTAAGTGTACTGGCTGCCTAGAGCACTTTGTTAAAAAGAAGTCCAAGGCAATGTTAAGGTCCTAAAAAAAGAATGTCATCCTCAATTAGTGATGTCTTTCAATTGTGTACAAGGCTAGGGCTGGTGAGCACAAACGCTATATCCTTTCTATCCCTACATCATGGACGACTTTAAATTTCACTCCTTACTAGGTACCATGTTTACCGAGACACACTTACTGACTTCCCAGCACTCGCAACTGGATATGTCCTTCTGATCCTACCACCAAGATCCCAAATGAATGCAGATCCAAACGCAGGTATCCTCCCTGGCTTCGCCATCCTATCGTTGAAGAAATCACAGGCTTAGCACAATAAAAGTTATACAGTTCAGACTGGAGAGGTCAGTGAATTGGCAGTAAGGGAATAGGACAATGAGGACAAGGAGAATTATGTTCAAAGATGTGGCAGCCAGAAAGTAAAAGCATAAGCAGTCTACCATGACTGACAGGAAGCCATTTATTCAAATCTGCCTGTAAAATATTATACATCAAAATTTGAACTCACTTCTCTAGAACACAAGTATCAACAAAATTATTAGCTCGTTTCTAACTCCTCCAATGGAACTCAATATAAAATTTTTACCATTGAGATCCTAATTAGAAATATAAATCTGCCATCTAACTTAAATAATATAAAAATGTAGACATATTTGCAACCAATTTTCAAGTGGTTGTTTTCCCATTGCATAACTTGCATAACTTGCATAAACTTGTTTTCCCATTGTCCTTGGCTAATTAAGAACCACAGTTTCCATGCATATTTTATTTTGCAGGTTGGTTAGGAAGGTTAATTGCCTACTCCCCTTATTTGTCTTTTTCTCCTTAATGGAACAAGCATCAGTTTGTCTGAATTGAGATATAAAATTACCAGAAAAAAAAAAACCCCACACTTAATGGTGGGCAGAGTTTCAAATTGCTATGGATTTTATTTGGTCTGCGTGTCATAAACAATATTTACCACACTGAATTTAAAAGAAATAAAATACAAATAAACCACATAGACGTTTCTAGGGATTTATTTTCTACATTTTTCTAGCATTCTTTTTAGTTCATTTTTTAGGGAAACAAAGTTCACAGGCCAGAAAAGTGAGTATCTATCCCTTTAGAAAGTTCTAAGTTCTAACCCATCACAAGATGTATTTCTATCAAAGCAGACTGGCCTCATTCATGTTCATTTCCAACAGTGTATTCTATTTCTGTTTGTAATCTTGTGCTGCAGAAAAAGGAACAGTATCATGCTGTCTCTGTAGTCTTGGAGATACTCTTTGGAGGAGAGGAGTAATGATGTCCTGTGATTAGAAAGAACATTCAAAATCTTAAATATCTTGGGACAAAGGATATTTCCTTCTAAACTCCTACTTTGTTACAACATGGTGTTATATAACTGTTAAACTACAATCTAACTATAGTTACCAGAATTGGAAATTTACATTCCAGGGATAGTCAGCCACCATGTAATCACAGGCAACTACTACAAGCGCCTTCAGCTGTCCTTATCTCTGATCAACACCAGAGGCTTTGACAAGTGGCTTAATAAAGGCTAAAAAGGGTTTTCATGGGTGCAATTAGTGGCTTGCAATTAGCATAACACATGCTAGAAATGGGTTACCATAGATGAAATTAGAGGGGTTCAAAACAGGTGGATTGGGACACTCCCCTACATATATTAATACATGAAAACAGTATCAAAATATAATGAGGCTTATAATTGCAGCTTAATCGCTAAACATCCTGTGCCCAGCCAGTGGGTCAGCAGATTTTTGGTTTCCCAATAGTTCACTGATTCCTGACACTGAAATAGGGCTGCATTGCCTCAAGTGAACCTTACCTGCAAGATGTTTTGGGAGACCAAAAAGGACAGAACTGTGGCTTCATCCACCTGCAGAACAAGTGTTATAACTGTGCTTGCTAATAAGCATCTGCATGAGTGGAAAAATTTAATCTAAGACTTGCTTTCATTACAACCTGGTGCCAAGCAGGTGAGGAGTGGGTAGCCAATCATTATACCCTGTAATTATTAGGGGGCTACTAAGATCTACCCAAAAGCATATCCAAGTAAGTTTGTTTGGGCCTGTTTACAAAAGGCACCCACCCTCTGAATACACCTGAACACAGATTCTTGTTGCCAGATATTTCTATAATCTCTATTCCGTAAAATCCATCCCTACATTAATGGGATTAATTTAAATAATAAAACTGATACTGAAATAAAAAGATATAAATGAGATGGAACCCCTGAAGGACAAAACAGACTGCATGGTTGAACAATCATACTAAGCTATAATTTCACCTTCTATATCATCACTACATCTACAACCACACTGCATTAGAGAAAATCCTAGAATTATATGTGTCCTATGTGAAAAGGAAAAATCAAATTGTTACCAGAACCAAAAGTGAGCTGGGTCTGCCCAGTGGGTACAGGTAGGGGGTGTGTGCACATGGGCATATTTCATATCAGTGAGGACCAACGCTCTGCATGGCCCTTCCCCCTTTAAAGGCAAGTGGAGAAGGGTGGAAAAGGTCAGGATTTTTCAGAACACTTTTAATGGGATTTTAGTTTGCAGAGACTGATGCCTGGAGCTGACTTTGGCAGCAGTTGAATAGAGAAAACCAGACAATGAAATAGAACTTTCTGGGGTCAGAAAAGAGAAACATAAAACAAAGGAAATGAAAGAAAACTAGAGTTTAGGTTGAAGGAAATTGCGATGAGGCTTTTTGTAAATAATACCAAAAATTAAATTTTAATTTCAAGTTACTAATGTTGTTGGAGAATGTAAGCCCCTTTGACTCGCTATAAAGTCTGATCCAGACACAAAGATCTTAGGTGACTGGTTTTGGTGCTTCTTTGGCATGAGGTGAAGCAGGGGAGGTGGGTGGCAGTAGACGTGTGGAGCTACCAAGAAAAGGCTATTTTTTTTCTGTTTGTATTAACTGTGCAATGCTCGAATAGCACATGTGAAATAGTGAGATAATTTATAAACAGTACTAGATGTGACGGGAAGCAACTTCCTTCAGGGCACACGTGAATTACATATATTTAGGTTGGTGCAAAAATGATTGCATTTAATTGTCATTAAAAGTAATGGCAAAAACTGCAATCATTTTTGCACCAACCTAACAGATACCATTGTGGGTGCATTGAGTTTAAGTGTTAAAAAAAATAGTAATTACAGTTATAATTTCCTTGGTAACAGAATCTTATACCTAAATTGGAGTCAAGGCTCCCTTAAAAAAGATCATTCATTGCCACGTACTTAAGTCTCTACCCAAAAAACAAAATTCCAACACCAAGAAGCCTAAGGAGAGGTTACTGAGGGGGCATATTCCCTTTACCTGGGGTTCATAGCTCAAATCATGGAGACACCAGCACTTATGAGATGCTGAGCTCAAGCCACTTCCTGGGGCTCACGGGCAGAGCAGCAGACATGTAGAGGCACTCCTAGGAAATCCAAGTGGAAGTGGTCCAGGAAGCTGCTCCAGCTAAGTAATATGCGACTCACAGCCAGGAGCCTGGGTTCCCAGTCCCTGATGGCAGACCCTACCCATCATCCCTCATCTGTCCACAGGTGCTCCCCACCCTCCATTTTCTACCAGAACACTCACTCTCGACACTCTCGAGATGGTTTTTACTTACTCTAAGTGATATTCCCAAAAATGGACACAATCTTAGCCCCCAAATGATGACCACGTATAACCATTATCTTAAGTAATTTACAAAGATGAACTTACATATAAAGATATAAAACATAGATGAATTATAGAGTAATACAATTTTCTACTTTATAATTTTCACACTCAGTGACCTCATATTGATAAACAATATGTCCACCAAACTTCTGAACTGGAGGTGAAACCACTACCAGGGCTGAAGGTGATTGCAAAATGTTTACCAGCATGGACTCTGAAGCCAGTTTGTTTGTGTGCACATCCTGGCTGTCCCACTTACCAGCTGTGTCACTTGGATAAGTTAATGCTCTCAATGCTTCAGCTTTCTCATCTTTGAAATGTGGTAGTTACAGTATCTAAATCGTAGAACTGCGTTGAGAGTTAGCACATGTAAACGTCTAGCCACTGCTGTACTGGAATTGACTCCTATTTGCCCACAAGAGCCTACTGGTAGCATGTCTTCCCAACTCCCCACTCCCTTCAGTGACAGCACAATCATGGCTTGAAACTGACCATGGTGGGAGTATTTACACCACAGAAACTGGCAAAAGCTACAAATCGGAACTATTTTTGAGATCCAGTTTCTAAACATTTACCAATTCACCAATGTATGTAGCACAAGGGCTGGCCAATATTAGATCTCAAGAAATGTGAGCTATTAATAGAAAAGGCAAAGGAAAGACCCTCTGGCAAGTTAAAGGATTTTTCCCCACCGCAAACAATTCTTTGCAATTACACAAAGAAAATTGTATCAAACTATTCTCTAGTGACAGGAAAACTTAAACATAAGTCAAATTTCCACATTTGTAGCTAGATTTAACAAACTATCTTTTTGGCCAGAATCACCTGCCCATTTTAATCTATGACATGGCACTAAGGTGCCTTATAAAAAATATATCACATATAACATGTCGGTTCTTTTTCAATGGTCCTGCCAAATTCAAGGACATGTGGATTACATATTCATATTGAAGTCTGTAAATGAGTTCCTTTTTGGGAATCAGTTCAAGGGCAAAACTCTTAAGTACTCCATGAACAACACGAATGTCTCCAAGGTACAATTTTAAAGAAAGGACTGATAGGCTCCTTCTTCACCCCAACTAATACTAAAACCAATGGAACAGAATCTTGGCAGAGGCTCCAAATTTGTTTTAAAGAAGATGGACACAGAGTGAGAGAAATTAATGAAACATAGTTTTCTTTTCCTTTTTTACATTTATTGGTAGAATTTAAAATCAAGTTAAGTTTCCTGGAGTTCTTACTCCATAGTATTCTTGGGCAGTGCAGAAACAAAGAGAATGAATTTTTATGGCCTTAATTTTATTTATTTTACTTTTTAGTGTTAATAAGAGAAATGAGTAAATCTACAAAGGCAAACTCAAATTACCAATGAACCAGAAACCTGGGAATATTTCCTTGTTATGGGAAATCCTAAGTGTTTCAGAAACATTGTTAATAATATTCTAAAATCTCCTTTTGCCATCTCTCTTCAATTAAGAATTTGATTGTGTGACTCAGGCCCACACTACATAACAGGCCAAGTTGCTTAAACTCTACCCACTCATGTGGTTGCCATTCCCTCTCAGTCACAGTCATTTGCACACCAGAGGTATAGGTTTTTGCCTATAGTTCTGGGTGAGATGTTCATTATTCTTATCAGATATCCAGATAATTAGGAAAGAAGAAAAGTAGTCATCACCAATACACTATTCCTGAGCTACAACAATTTCAAGTTTCTCTTAAATCAAAAAGCAACTTGCTGTGCACATAGTAGTCAATGTGGATGACTTTGTCTAGGGAACTGCTGCAGGTAGATAGGATTTGAATGACAGGTTGCCTTAATATTTTGATTAGAGGTTTGGGACATGGTGTAGTTGGAGTGGAACATGCATGGCACTTCCAGAGATGAAAGTAATAGATGTTTATGGCATTATTCACCAGGAAGAAAGTGAAGGAAAGCATTCTGCTCCAGAGACAAAGATAATCGGAAATCATGTATCCTCAGAAACAGATATGCATGTGCACAGCTGCCTACTCCACCAAAAAGAAATATAGAATGCTCACTTACTTTTCCTTCTCCTCCTCCACTAACAGCAGAGAAGCCCTTGTTGACCACGGAGCTATGAGTTCTTAGCAGTGCAGGTGCAGAACCCTTGGGGCATATGAAACTTACTTAAGCAGTGAAGTAACTTCCTGCAGGTCAACTTAGGAAATCTCACAAGGCAAGGGTCTAGGCTGGTGACAAAAGCTAGGGTTAAGCCAAGTTGCTTAAACTGTATCCACTCATGTGGTTGCTATTCCCTCTCAATTTTATAATGTTTGGGTGCTAGATAGACAGAGGAAGCCTAAGTATATTAAAACATATGTAGTGTTAACAATCAAAATTTCAAAGAAAAGACCCACATTTATGACATTTTTGGTCATTATTATACATGTGACAGTTATGATGATATTTTCTGCCAGTTATTCTACTTAGTATTACTTTGATATAGCCAGACCAGTTTTAAGTTCTCCATTCTTTTTGTTCGTTTTTCCAGCATCCATAAATACCATTAAGACAAGTTGTCAGGACTCCTGAAGGGGGCCTCTTAAATAAAACCCTCTGTCCTCCCTGGAGGAAAGAAAGGAAAGAGGAGCCCTAAAAGAGAGGAGGCCTTTTGGAGCCAGTGACTGAGAACACATGCCTGAAAACAGTAGATCAATAAGCTATGCAACTCACTGTTTACCCACCTGACTCTCTCTGCTTCAGGGCTCCCACCCAAAGGTAAATCAAGCCTCTTCCAAGTCCACATCCTACTATGTGCAGAAAAGCTAGAAAACTTAATGCTGCAGCCTTCTAGCTTGTAACTTCCCTCTAAGTTATGGGGGTTAGGAGGACAGATGCCTATATTAAAGATGTAAGTGGCTTTTCTCTTACCTTTCTCTCCCTTTTCAGAGAGCTCAATACCCAACTACGCTATTCACCATTCCTCTTCTAGGAAAGAAAGACTGATGTGGCCTTGCTCACTTTTCAGGACATGATAGATGCATTTCACCTGTTTCAGACCCGTCTTCAATATTGCCAAAACCACAGAATTAACTACTTGGGGTTATCAGCTTCTTTCAGTCTCAGCCCTTGTATAGGCTTTTGGAGTGAAAGAACACAGGTTTGAATCCTGTTTTCACTACTTACTATCCTTTAACCGTGGATGAATTACCCTCTCTAAAAGACAGTTTTGGTTTCTATAAATGAGAATAAATCCTACTCTTAAGGCTTGTTATGAATTAATTGGGATGATGTATATAAAATGACTGGCATACGACAAGCTACAATCCCAATGAATAGGATTGAGATTTAATACAATTAAATAATTTAAAATAAATACAGAAGAGAACCTCAAAAAGCCTGAGCTCAGTGACCAGCTTTACTGCATGTGGAGGAGGAACAAGGGTAGAAGAGGGGATAATAGTGGACAGAGGAGGTCCACAGTTATTTTGAATCCAAGATCGTGTCTTTGGATGATAGTGTGGCTGAGTCCGTATATAAACAGAGGATTAAACTGTATAAAATATCAAAAGAACTGTTTATGCATTAAAGAGAACACTTCTCTGCTTTTGATGAAGCTTTCCACATGGAGGGAGCTCATTTAATGTAACACCCATGATCTATGGGAGTGACTTGCCTAAGCGAAAAATTTAAAGGAATAAACTGGACACGCTCAGCTCTTCTCTTTTACCTCCTGGTTCTTTTGTATTCCTCCAAGAGCAAACCTGCCATCTGTCACCCCAACCCACAGAGAATAGGCCTTGGTCCAGCACAGCCCATGACTAGGTAGGAACATCTGATGAAACGCATACTCCAAGTGAGCCTTTAGGAGTAATAAAGTTGGCATTTTGAATTCTGATCTGCTTTACTTTCTTGCTTTAATTCTTACCTTCCTTAGCACTCAGGTTGGACAGAGGGTTTTCTTTGACAGGCCCCCTTTAGGGATTCTGACAATTTGTCTTAACGTGTTTTATGGATGCTGGAAAATGAACAAAAAGAATGGAGAACTTAAAACTGGTCTGACTGTATCAAAGTACTACTAATTAGAATAACAGGCAGAAAATATCACCACGACTACTGTCACATGTGTAATAATGACCAAAAATGTCGTAAATATGGGTCCTCCTAGTTTTCTTTGAAATTTTATTTGATTATAATACTAAATGTGTTTTAATATACTTAGGCTTCCGCTGTCCATCTAGCACTCAAACATTACAAAATTGAAAGGGAATGGCAACCACATGAAGGGATACAGTTTAAGCAACTTGGCTTAACCCTAGCTTTTGCCCCAGCCTAGACCCTTGTCCTTCAGGATTTCCTAAGATGACCTGCAGGAAATCACTTTACTGCTTAAGTAAGTTTCATATGCACCTAGGGATCTGCACCTTCTACCCTAGGGACGTAGTTATTTAGAGAGAAAGCAGTTAGAATGTGAAGTTCATCAACAGTAGAAACTCTCAGGATGACCCAGATGGCCAACTTCTATGATAGAAAATAGGATTTTAATTGACAGATTCGATCCCAGGTTCCTCCCTAGGGCTTCCCAATAGAGGTCATGAACTGTGATGCAACTGCATGGTTTTAAACCACTTTCAATTAAGTTCACACAAGACCCCCGTGGAATGCATTTCAAGCGGCAACAACATTCTATATCCCAATATCAGTTGTTCCGTCCCATCTCCCAGCTCTCCTATGTTTACAACTTTAATACAAGAAGCTTAAGTTGTATCATTCTCTGCTACTGATTATGCACCTTTCTTCCAGACTACTTGCATCCTTTCCAAAATGCATCAGCTCTGTCCCCCAACATTGATCCCTCTGATACAAGTGGGTGAGTTCTTTCTGCTCAGGTACCGACACAAAGACTTCACTTTCTTGATCCAATTACAGTCAGACTGAGAATCTGACAAGGATTTATCCTTGAAATCAACCAAGAATCCTAGCAGTTCAGGGGCTCTATTTGGTAGTAAGATCTTTAAACTTGGCGGCTGTTTTGTTATTCAGTTCTGAATCCCCAGCGCTCAGCAGAACAGCTTGCATGAGTAGGTCTTTAATAAATCCTTGCAAATGAATAAATGAAGTACTTGACACTTTAAAAGCAAATCTCTGCATTGAAACCCTTAGGAAATGCTCCATAAATTAAAAAGATGATGAGCCAGAAGGATGATTAAAGGAACCTGCTTAAAAAGGTGTAAGAGACTCTGACTCCACTCAGCCAGATTTCATTGCCTAGAAGTTTCCTCTTTTATACCCCCAGACGGGCTGAGCTGTTTACATTTTTACTGGGTTTGACTGCTCAGAATAAACCTCTCCCCTCATGCAGCTTGAGTATTTTGGCCAGCCTACATTTTCTACATTTTATTTGGTAACTTCACTTTAGGGAAAAGCTGAACACACACACACAGAGCCAAAGGTGAACTCTAATTGGGTTAAGTTGATCAACAACCACTTTCCCTTGGCCACTGTGATTGGTCCAGGGATGACTCAAGGGTCTGAGACTCAATCTAATGAGATATGAAGAGTTGCTACTTGTTTTGTTGGTGTTGTTGTTATTTTGTTTTTTTTGAGAGGGAGTCTCGCTCTGTCACCCAGGCTGGAGTGCAGTGGCACGATCTCGGCTCACTGCAACCTCCCCCTCCTGGATTCAAGCAATTCTCCTGCCTCAGCCTCCTGAGTAGCTGGGAGTACAGGCGCCCACCACTGCACCCAGCTAATTTTTTGTATATTTAGTAGAGACAGGGTTTCACTGTGTTAGCCAGGATAGTCTCGATCTCCTGACCTCATGATCTGCCCATCTCGGCCTCCCAGAGTGCTGGGATTACAGGTGTGAGTCACCACGCCCAGCTGCTTCTTGGTTTCTAAGAAAGTTAGTTCTTTACTCTTTTGTGACTACCACTGAGAGTTTTTCTCTCTCCTCCTGCAGGACAGAAGCAAGAAAGCAAAGAGCCCTAGAAACTGCTAGCAGCTGTCTTGTGATAAGAGAGGCCAGCCTTAGACTAAAGCAGACATACTGAAAACAGAGAAGAGAAAGGTAGAGACAAAAGGATGGCATTGGTGAACTGCTGGCCCCAAGCCTGACCTACCTCCGTGACTTCTCAGTTACAAGAGCTGATAAACATCTTATTGCTTTAGCCTATTTGAGCCCAGTTTTCTGTTACTTGCACATGACTAAAGCCAAATTCACTGAATTGATCAAGGCAGCTCTAAATAAGTTGCCATGTCTTTGCTGCGTTGAGAAGATTTAAACACAGCAAAGTTAAGTGACCTGCTAGGGGACTTTTGGTGTGGCAAAAGGAATGTGAGAATGCAAAAGCCTTACCACTTCCCAGTCTCTGCCCTCACCTCTGGCCACTTCAGCCTCCTAGGATTCATTCAGTCATTCACCTGCATTCATTGCATGCTAATAATGTTCAAGCCACTGCCTCCCTACTCTCTAGAAGCCTGTAAATAACTATAAAATGTTTATAAGCAGATTTAGAAGTATTTAAAAATCAAGTGATTATGTTAAAGTATTAGTATGGTAGATTCCCCTGTAAGATTTCCTTTAATTGTAAGCCATATTGTTTTCTACAATTACAACTTTGACTTAAAAGAAGTTTAAAATCAACTAGAGATGTATTACTAGTAAGAGTCATACTGTGAATACAAACAACATAATATCTATGAAATCTTATGGAGCACAGAGCCCCATGTTCAATATTTATTGGACATCTACCCTATGTCATGTACTGGCATATGATGAGCACTTTACATACAGTATCTCAACCTCCACCACAAATTATTATTTCCATATTACAGATATGGATGCCAAGATGCAGAGAATATCATTGACTTGCCCCAAATCATACAGTGAGAAAGCAGGGGGTTAGGATTTGAACTCAGGCAGTCTGACTTCAGTGAGCCTGTTGCCACTGTATAATTCTGCTAAAAGACTTCACAGAGTATGGGAAGTAGAATAATTGTCCCCCAAAGATGTACATGTCCTAGTTGCCTGCACTCGTGAATATGTCAGATTATATGGCAAAGGGGAATTAAGGTTGCAGAAAGAATTAAGGGTGTTAATCAGCCAACCTTGAGATGAGAAAATTATTCTGGATTACCAAGTGGGCAAAAAGTGGAAGAGTTGGTCAGAGTCAGAGACAAGAGATATGATGGCAGAAGCAGAGGTCAGGGTGATGCAATGTGTGAAAGACTAAACCAGCCATGGCTAGCTTTGAAGATGAAGAAAGGGACCGCGAGCCAGGGAACAGCGGCAGCTTCTAGAAGCTGAGAAAGGCAAGAAAACAGATTATCCCCTACATCCTCCAAAAAAGAATGCAAGCCTGCCAGCACCTTGATTTTAGCCCAGTGAGACCCATTTTTAAACTTCTGACCTCAAGCAGTGAAAAATAATAAATTTGTTTTGTTTTTGTTGTTGTTGTTGTTGTTTGAGATGGAGTCATGCTCTGTTGCCCAGGCTGGAGTGCAGTGGCCATGATCTCAGCTCACTGCAACCTCCACCTCCCAGGTTCAAGCGATTCTCCTGCCTCAGCCTCCCCCGTAGCTGGGATTACAGGCACCCACCACCACACCCAGCTATTTTTCCTATTTTTAGTAGAGACGAGGTTTCACCATCTTGGCCAGGATGGTCTTGAACTCCTGACCTCGTGGTCCACCTGCCTCAGCCTCCCAAAGTGCTGGGATTACAGGCATGAACCACTGCACCCGGCCAAATTTGTTTAGTTTTAAGCTACTAAGTTTGTGGCAGTTTGTTGCAACAACAATGAGAAACCAATATACAGAGAATGCATACATTTTCATGTCATGTAGTATAGGGGGAGAAAAATAATTTTCCTCTACCTATCTTTAGTTTCACTGGTGGGACAGACCTCATAACAAAAGGCAGACTAACAAGAGAATAACAAGCAGTTTATTAACATGCATATTTCATACAGCTACATGGGAGACACTCAGGGAATGAGTAATTCTCTAAGAGGACGTTTTGAATTCCAGCTTATATAGCATCTTCAAAAAAGAACAGTAAATTTTTAGATAAGTGTCAGGACAAAGGAAAAGAACTTTTGAGTCTCTAGGGACAGCAAATTGTGGTAAGGCAAATAAATGGTAAAGACTAGTTAGTAAAGTGTGTTATGTAGATAACTGGTGTCCTCTCCAGGCTGATAAGGGTCTAGAGTTGTCTTCAGTGGTTAACCTTTGTTCTCCCTGGTAAGGAAGGGAGGCCAGACACCTTTGCCTTTGTAAACATATGCCCTGCAGTAAACATATGTATGAGGGCAAAAAACGGGGAGGGATGGGGGAAGAGCAGAGAGTCTTTCCTATGACTGAATCCTTCCATTTGCCCTCAGCTCAAAATGAGTTTTATGTCTAAGAGGCATCTTTTGGAGTAACATATTCTGGCTTCCTTCAGTAGATGAAAGACTAATAAAAAGGGTTATCCCCAATACCATCTTAATAAGTGATAATAAAATTTAATTAACCCTGTAAGGAAAAAAAGTATTTGGGCCTTGGAGACACCAGAGTTTGGTTCATACCAGTAAATTAGCTAAGCTTTCTGCGTTTCCTCATGTAAATTGGATATAGAGCTATAGAAGGACTAAAAGAGAGTTTTAGGAAGAAGCAAACACAATTCTGAGCACTCACCTGAGAGTCTCCTGACCCTTTCTTCTCATCAGTTCCCAAGAGAACACTGAGAAAAACCAAGCTCATCTTTGGAAAAGCTGTAATTTGTGAATATTAAAGATGTCAAATAATTTAAACATCATCGATATAATTTGCTAATTGGAAATGGTATCCCATTTAATAAAGGGATATCCACATACCCTAAACTTTAGGGCAAGAAATTTCCCATCCTAGGGGTCATTCTAGAGTTTTGTATGCTCTCTCTCTCTCTTTCTGCAGAGATCAAGTTAAAGTATAATAGTAATCAAATAAAAAGAAGGCTATAAAGAGATTGATTTATGCTCATTTTGCTGAGCAAATAACTAGCACTGCATTTGTTACATACACTACTTGTCAAGAGGAATATATATTTTTAAAACAGCTTTCACTGGGGGCTTCGATTCAGATCTGCATATCAAGGTTTTACCCTTTCCCCCAGTGACCTATTTGTCTGAGGGAGGCATTCAATTAGACTGCCGGCACAAATTGATTCAGTATTGACCAGGAAAGCCTTCTCACTTGAAAGACATATCACGCAGAGGTGGAGGTGTCACTGCTACAAGTCAATACTACAAGGGCAAAGGCCCAGATGGTTCAGGAATATGAAATGAGGAAGGGTCCTCCCCCGGCATTTGGGACAGAAAAGCCTCTGCTTCCTCTTACAGAATAGAAGCATGAGAAAGAGAAGCTCATTATGTTTTAGTAAAGGCAGGAAACTGATTCCCATTCTCTGCTAGTAGTAAATGGGAATAAGGGAATAAGGCAAAGGTTTCTTTGCCTCAAGAAGCATCACTGGAATCTGAGGTTCCAGTAATCTCATCTCTCAAGGTCACTGCTCTTTAGGGAAACACCCCCGCTTTTTCCAAATACCCTTGCCCCACGGGCCCTTTCTTGCTGCCCTGATTCTCCTCCCCCTCTAGATCCCAACCATAAAGCCCAGGTCTGACAAATTTATCAGAACTCTTTTAACACCGTCCACACATTATGTTTATCTTTATAAACAAAAGATACTCAGTTATTTTAGACAAGAAACTGAATCTTCTGACATCTAGAGCATCAAAAAGCACTGTACACCCAGTGAGATCAAAATAAGTGCTAATCAATGATAAGTATGCTTTATTTAATGTAAAACTGCTACTGGGATTAAAGGGCAGGAAGGATGCAGGCTTGTGGTATCCAATGCTGGCTTTTAATGTGTTATTTCTCAAATGATGGCTTTGATTTGTTGAAATGTTTTAGAGCCCTGAACATCTGACAGAATAAATTAAACCCTTCCTAACGGCCTTCCCTTGATTATCCCAAGTACCCACTATAGATAAGATTGTATTTTACATCCAGCTTGAAAAATCATAAAATTGTCTCCATTAAAATAATTAGGACTCCTTACTTTCATTTTAAGATTTGGCCTCTACATATTTACAGCACTCATTTTTATTTACATTTTCACATCATTAGAACAGGGCAATCATTTTTATTGTGTGGCACACATATGATTTAAGATACGTAGTTTCCAAATGTCACTGGTGAAAGCTGAAATCCATTATCATTTACCCACAGAAATGAAGTCCATCATGCTGTGCACTTGCAGAAAAGAATAAAGAGGTTTAAACCAGAATCTGCATAATCCCAGGTAGAGGCAGCAGCAGCAGTGGGGGTGGGGTGGGGTGGGGAGAAGCATCATTTCTGATATGCAAACCATGGAAAAGAATGGCATGTATTACAAATCAGGCCATCTGAATGCAGAGGACCCAAGAATATGCTCAAATAAGTACACATATTGTAATGAATCAATTAGAAGCATTGATGATCATTTGCTAAGATGTTTGATAAAAGTTCCTCAGATATATATGCACAGTTTTGCAGTTAACAAAATACAGCTGCAGTTTCTTATTTTCACTTGAATGAAATGTCAGATAAAATGAAAAGCTCTGCCTTTGACTCTATCCAGAAAGATCATCTTCAGAGACCACTCCTTTCACTCATTATTTCCTTCCAAATAAGTTTCTAATATTATTGATATATACATGAAAAAGTATTTCAAGTATTAAGCAAAAGAGGGAAAACAAGGCCAATAAAGAAATAGGTGTGCACATGCCCAGGTGAGGAGGAGAGTGACCTGTGTATCTCAGAACCCTGCTCAAACAAACAAAACAGAAGCAGAAATGTTTCTCAAAGAATTCATGTCTTCTAACTATAACTCATTTTGCAATCATCATTTTAACCCAGTAAACAGGTAAACACCCACTAAAATGATAAATATGAAGATTATGTAAAAAAATAAAATATGGAAAAGAGTCTATAAAATGCAAATTAAAAAATGGAATGTATTTATACTATTATTGCAACTATGAGAAATTATTTATACCAATAGAAAAAGTTCACAAAAACTATATTATACACAAATATGATGACAGTAGTTATTTTGGGGGCAGAGTGAGTTAAGGGCAAATTTTTTTCTTTTTCTTTCCCTGTTATTTCTAATATTTTACAATAAGCATATATTGCTTCTTAATTTAAATTTAAATTGTGTTTTTTTATTTTAAAGATCCGGCCAGACGTGGTGGCTCACGCCTGTAATCCCAGCACTTTGGGAGACCAAGGCAGGCGGATCACGAGGTCAGGAGTTTGAGACCAGCCTGATCAACATGGTGAAATTCCGTCTCTACTAACAATATAAAATTCGCTAAGCATGGTGGCAGGCACCTGTAATCCCAGCTGCTCGGGAGGCTGAGGCAGGAGAATTGCTTGAACCTGGGAGGTGGAGGTTGCAGTGAGCCAAGATCGAGCCATTGCACTCCAGCCTGGGCAACAAGAGTGAAACTCCATCTTAAAAAAAAAAAAAAAAAAAAAAGGTCTAAGAGGCTGAAAACTCTTTATAGGTTTCAAGAAAACACCACCCCAAAATATGACTGTAGACCAGAATATGCCACCCCACAATACGCCTCTTTGGCATAACGATTATTTTGGGCTGGTTATTTTGAGAAACTGCAGACATAGGCATATCTCTAAACAGTTGTCTTTTTGTAAAAAAAAAAAAAAAAAAAAGGTTTTGTCTTACAAAAGGAAATCTCCATTTATAAGGCTGTCTCCTTCTCTGATAGATAAGTAATACCATTTTTCAGAAAATAATGGTATTTAAGCCTGAGGTCTATGACAAGTCTTTAAGATTTACTCTAGACATTTACTCATTTCTCTGGGTTATCCCCCATGTAGACAGGAGGCATATATGTTATTAAACTTCTGCTTGTTTTTCTCTTGTTAATCTGTCTTTCATTACAGGGGTCTATTCCAACTAAGAGCTACAGAGGGTAGAAAGGAAATTATTTTTTCTTTTCTACACTCTAAACTGGGTCCCAAACTTTTTTGGTAAAGAAAACTATTTTCTCAAAACACTGAATTCACAAAGCCAGGAGAAAAGACTGCCAATAGGGGCTTAGTATAATATAGCTGCAAACCAGTACTTGCTGAATTTTTTAAATTATGAATTTTTAAAATTAAATTCACAAAGGCCATACCTGTTTAGGAGAACTTAAGAAGAAAAAGAAAGAACAAGAGAACCCAAGAAGGAAAGTGTCAGATACAGCTGTGGCCGCTGAGCTTTCCTGGATATTTACTGACAGCACCATGATGAAAACTATGCTAATAGGCCAGAAGTTTGAGACCAGCCTGGCCAACACAGTGAAACCCTGTCTCTACTAATAATACCAAAAATTAGCCGGGCATGGTGGTACTCGCCTGTAATCCCAACTACTCGGGGGGCTGAGGCACTAGAATCATTTGAACTGGGGAGGCAGAAGTTGCAGTGAGTCGAGATGGGGCCACTGCATTCCAGTCTGGGAAACTGAGCAAGACACTGTCTTAAAAAAAAAAAAAATAACTACATTAGTGAACCTTGTTGAGTCCAAATCACTTTGGAAAACTTTTAAGTAATCAGAAGAAGGGACTCATCCTTTGCATTAATACAGCATCCTTCAGCATTGGTCTACACCAGATTAAGGTAGCTTCTTTCCTCCCAATAAAATGTTCAGACTCAGGTAGATGACACCTGAGAGCCTGAGAGGTGGGAAGTAATAATGGAGGCTTTACCAACATCTGAATAAATTTGAGTGAATGTGCTACTCACAAAACTGAAAAATTAATAGCAATTAGTTTAGACCAGGCACTGCAGGATACTATGTTCAACTTCTGTCAGTGTTCATATCCTTTTTCACTATCTCCTTGATAACAAAGACAAGAATATCTCTTCAACAGAGACAGTCAGTTGTGCCAAAATTAGGGAAGATTTCTCACCTGTCTCTTAGGGAAACAATCATGGTAAAAGACAGTACTTCTGATGTCTAGAAAAAAACTATAGAGTTCTTCTTTCAGTATCTAGACACACATTAGCCAAATGGCCAGAAAGAATAAGAAACACTGAAATGAACGATAATGATACGTAAACAAGATGTCAAAAAGCACAGAAATCTGATAACCAAACTCAATCCTGTCTGCCTACAGCATAGATTGAACAAAATGTCTGAACGTGTAATGCTGACATACATTCTAAGAATGGGCTAAGCAGGGCCTACTGACACTTTTCAATGGCTAATTTGCAGAACTGTAAAAATCCTTTGGAGGGAGATAAAAATATGTAGCTTTTTATTTATTAAAATAAAACCAAAGGACAATCAATATATTAGACAATATTCCTGACTTTTCAATATAGTTGTGGTACAGACAGTAGGGCTCACCAAACATTCCGACTGCTCCCCAACGTAAGAAAAAAGCTGCCCCATCACTGGGTCACTATTTGAAGAACAGTATCCCCACTCACAGCAACTTGTGTGTTGTTAAGCAACTTCTGTTATGTCAAAACACTAACATTTAGGTATTTTGGGTTCCCACAAAATGACCTAGCGTAGCTGAACTAAAACAATAGTCGACAACTTTTCTTTGCCTTAATATGACAAAAAAAATTGATAATTGAAAAATAAATAATGCTAATCTTTTACGCACATGAGGAGAAGCAAAGAGGTATCCTAAATATTTAGGATTGTAGTTAGCATTATATCCATTGATATTAATTGGTGTTCAAGGCAAAAAAGGGCTCCACAGTTGAGTAGGTTTGGGAAACAGAGATATTATACCCCTTCCTAAAGATTTGTAACGTAAAGTCATATGTTCAAGGCTCTGAGACATTCTATACCAAAGAAATAAGTATAAACTGTTCAATCCAGCATTTTTCAAGCAAATCATCAACACTTCCATGAAAAGAGCTTGGGAAATGCTGCATTCTATTTTCCCCACCCAAAAAGAACTGATTGCACACTAATAAAATCTGCATCCAGCTACTATGAAAATTTATTTACATTCCCTAAGCAATTATTACCTGGTGAGAGGGGAAGGGTGATATTGACAGGAGTGATAGTCAAGATATTTAACAACAATATATCCTAGACATTGACCAATCAAAATGGACTCTCAGCCCTGCAGACCTCCTGTTGTGTCAGGCTTCCATTCTTTAGTTGCTGGATTGTAGAGGGCCAGAGTGCTGAGGGCAGTGGAATGGGTAGGTGTTCAGAGCAGTGGTTATACACCAACTGATGTAGTTTATGTCTATGTCCAATATTAATTAAATATCAACTCTGCCTATGAGTAAGTGATAGGTAACTGTCATCTACTTTGAGATTATTATTTGACTATTTCTTCATTTGCCTAAAAGGCTTAAGTCTTGTTTGGTATTTTATTTCTTAAGACTTATTTTATAGTGGGTAGTCAACAAACTTAAGCATTATTGAAATCCAAAAAATGTTTATAGTTATCTACTATGTGACTGGCACTATGGTAGGTGTGTTCATAAAATTAAACAAAAAAACATGTTTTTCTATACTTCAGAGCATATTGAGATATTTAATACATACCTGTAGACTGAAATATTGACAATACAATAGTCTAACTATACCTTTCCTTGTACAGAAGACCATTTGACTTTGTTGAAAGAGTATCTGAAAATAAATCTCATTTTACTGAAAAAAGAAGTTTATTGAAAGGATATTGTTAAGGATTACTTATCAAAACAGAAATATGCCAGAGGATTTGTTAGTAATTGATGTGCCTCATCACCTGGTGTCACATTATTGAACTATAAGAGGCATTTTTAAATGTGGGAGAATGTTCTATAACATTATAATGTGAGTTTGGAATGGAATGTAGAGGGAGTCAATTGAACTAATCTTCTACATCCTTTCTTTCACAACCAAAAATTCGCATCTGTCTACTTACAAATATTTTAAACCCTGTGTTGTCAGTGTTTACTTCTATATCCTTCAAAAGGAAGGTAGAGATTTGAGGCATTAGTCCAGAGAAAGACAAGCCCTGCATTTTTGCAAACAGGAATTTATTCATGCTACTTCTTTACCTCATTTACATCTCCTTAAATTCTAATCAGATTTTTATTTGTCACTCAAATGGCTTTGACAAACAAAAGAAATATCCAGTCTTAATGTCTGAATAGTTCCATCACTATTTATTAATTCTGAATTTGTTGGAAGTTTTATTCTACTGGGGTTGGTGTTAAATATTCCAATTTATAACTCCTTGGTCCAAAATACAAGGCCAGACCATGCTATGATAAAAGATGATGAAAAAGTTCTTAAATCAGTTCATGTGGGATAAGCTAGTCAGATATGTTGTTTTGCCATGATCTGTAATTTCTTTCTGTTTAAATTACAACTCACTTAGAGTTCGGAAAGCACTTTCAGACTACGCAGAATTAGATTTAAAATTCTAACTCGGGGGCACAGCCCTGATGTAATTAGCAGTTAAAATCAATATGGACCCCTATTGTTAGGTGAATACTGAGATAATTCTCAGCTTTAATGCAATATGGGGGGTGAGGTAGTTTTCACTTATGTAATTTATTCTCTATTGTGAATTATTTTCCTTCGTTGGATTTATTTAATATAGTACTGCTTTACAACCTTTAAAAAGTGCCAAGGAAACATAATGTATCTATTTACATAATAGATCAATAGTTCCATCATCATTTATTAATTCTAAGTTTGTTGGGAGGGACTGTGATGTTAAGGTGAATTGAATTTCTTATTGACTGAAAGGAAATGAGAAGATAATTGGCTAAGAAAGATCTTGAAAAACTTTCTAAAATGTATGCATTTACTTCCTGTTAAACATGATGCGTCGAACACCTTCTGACACTCCACTTTTGGGAAAGACCAACCAAAAAAATTAGGAGAAGACAGAAACAAAATATTCGAGGAGGGAAAGGAGACAACAGACAGACAGGTGATCCTGATTGAGCAGACCTAAGAAAGTTTAACCCTAAGCCAGCAGTGAAAGAAACCAGTTGATTATGTCTTCAGAATCATGAAAATGGTCAGTAATTAGAGTTACTCTGTACCTCTACACACTAGAAAATCATACAGTAGAAAATTGTGCAGGGCTGAAAACAGGAAGATTGACTGGGCATCTGTATAAAAAGCTCTTTGACCTCTAAACATCCTTCCCAAACTCCAGAAGACTAGATTCACTAAATCTAGTGAATAGGAGGCATTGTGGGCTGGGGACACCAGGGATAGAGAAAGTAAGGAATATCTGAACTAATACAGTAGTCTCCTCTTATCAGAAGTTTCACTTTCTGTGGTTTCAGTTACCTGCGGTCAACCAGGTCCAAAAATAAGTGAGTAAGATACAACAAGATATTCTGAGATAAAAAGACAGTGAGACCACACTTACATAACTTTTAGAGTATGTTTTAATTGTTCAATTTTATTATTAGTTCTTACTGGTAATCTCTTACTGTGTATTAAACTTTAACACGGGTATGCATGTAGAGGAAAAAACAGTATATATGGGGTTCGGCATGATCCACAGTTGCAGGCATCCACTGGGGGTCTTAGAATATATCTCCCATGGATACAGAGAGACTACTATAATAGGGTAATTACATAAAACCACACATTTAAAGGTGAGATTCCCAGATTCTTATTCACACTTGCTTCCAGAACTCACTTAACTAACTGTGCCCTTGTCTACCCCAACAAGCAGAAGCTTGGGAAATTTCTCTCTGGAGAAACTAAACAGCACCAGAGAAAGGAAGAGCAGGTATTAATGGGGGAATGAAGGAGGAGGTAGAGGCAATGAAATGGCTTAGCCAAATCATCCTAAAGTAAAGGCTACCAATTGATAAGTATTCACACACAGAAGTTCCAATCCGAATAGTACTCCATTCTTAAATATGAAAACAGAGAAAAAAAAAAAAAAACATTTTCCAGGAAAAAAAAAAAAAAGCCTCTCTAAATCTGTAGAAATAAAGCAGAGAAAAGAAAACTTTTATTTTAAAAGTCACTAATATTCTCTGGTTCATAAAAGAAGATACTACACTGACAAAAATAAGAAAAAGAATTCATACAAAAGAAACACCATCAAAGAGAAATTGCACCAGACTAATTAAGCAGGCAAGAAACACCATCAAAGAGAAATGGCACCAGACTAATTAAGCAGGCAAGAAAGACTTTATTCAAGACCATTGCAATAGGAGTCAAGACTATTACAGTAGGAGAAAGAGGCTGAACTCAACTCTAAATACAACAGGGACAGTTGGAGATGTATATCCAATGGGCAGAATGAGTGAGTCATTGGATGGAAAATGACTAAAAGAAACTTTGCTGGGTATCAAGCCTGGGAGAATGAGGAACTTGATTGGATATTAAGAATGGGGGATTCTCAGTAAACTGGCATAGAAGAATTCTTGCTAAAACTGGGCTCAGCAGGCCAAGGCCTAGTCAGGAAGAAAGTTTGATAGAGCCTGAGGAGGAAATCCTTGTCAGCATTCAGAAATCAAAAATTAGTTCTAGGGAATTTAAAATATGATAGCAAATATAAAATGTTTAATATGAGAATTGGGAGAGTATATCCAAATTTCCTCTGGAAATCAGAAATGAGGGTATAGCAGGTAGTTCAGGGATGCCGCTGTCAAAACCTCAAAGAATATTTGATTTTCTAAGCCATGTACAAACAAAACTTTGGTTAATGAAAACATCCAATAATAAAGGTTATGAATTTACTTCTCTCCTTAAAAAAGCAAAATGTTCTGAAAGTAACTGAAAACTTATTAAATAATTAAGAATTTTTTATAGATAAAAAGTATTTTCTGATTCTTACGAGAGTTTCAGCAAAACTAAACTATGCACTGTCCAGCCACCTACTCTCTTCCTTAGCTGCCCAAGAGACATAACACAAGAGGACATTCCAGGCAAATGTTCCTAGGCGAGGTTTCCACTCAGAAATCCCATCTGCTTTCTACTCTACTCAGCTGAGGTAGATGAGGTGGAGACCTCAAGGACCCCATCACCTCACTCCCTTAAATCGGCCATTCCTCCACTTTCTCTACACCTCAGGACCCTGCTCTGGCCTCCTTGAGACCCCAGAGTCTCTCTGGTCTGTGGAAATATCCACAGAGGATATTTCTAGCCACCCCAAATGTTACCTTCCAAAACCTTTCCAAAGAAGGAATAATGGGAAGATTCAAGGAAGAGAAAACCAGATCCCTCCCATAACCAAATTGGTAACAAAAGAAAAGATAAAAGGCCAACAGTATTGGCATGTTTTCTTCACCTGCATCAAAAATTTGTGTTCAGAAAGGGAACACAATTGGGGAACTGAAGATTATTTGTTCATTGGTTCAACATAACCAGGTCTCAAGTGCTGCCCATTAAGCAATACAGTAAAGAGTGGGAACTCTTAAGAGTTCCATATCCCTAAACAAGAGGGAGACACAAAAGATAGCTGCCTCCCTGGGCTGCTGTTCAGATCCCACTTCAGGAGCATGAACCACCCTCCTGGGCAGAAATGTTCCTGCTCCTTAACCAGCCTCTTTACCTACACGGGAATGAGCTGACAGGCTCCCAGAGACACAAAAGAACAGGATCTCTATGGAGATATCATCTCTTAGGGGGCTGATCTCCTTCAGAATGAAAGTCAGTGACATTCTAGGCAGCATCAGTCAAGCCCTGGCTTAGAATGGGTCCAGTAGTGCACCACGGGTTCCTAGTTGTCACTCCCTGTGCATAATTTGCTCCCATACCAACCTCATAATTAAAATATCAAAAAGTCATGATATCACTCACTAAGTCTCCAAAGGAATGAATTAAATTTTCAAATATTCGAATATGACAATTATAGCCATTACATACTCAGAGGCTTGAAGGGTAAATGACTCCAGTTAAAGTATTGATTTATTATTTGAAACCACCTCCCACCCATTTGTTGTAAGTCTTTATGTCAGTCTTCTACTGCAGCTGTAACAAATTACCAATTACTAATAAATTACCAATAACTTTAGTGGCTTAAAACAAATTATCTTACATTTCTGTAGGTTAGAAGTCCAACATGGGTCTCACTAAGCTAAAATCATGGAATCATCAGGGCTGTGTTCCTTTCTGGAGGCTCTAGGGGAGAATCTGTTTTCTTGCCTTTTTAAGACTCTCCCTCTCCCAGAGGCAGCCTTTATTCCTTGTTTTGTAGCCCCTTCCATTTTCAAAGCCAAAATAGGTCTACTCCTTTTCATATCACCTCACACTGACGTCTGCTTCCCTTTTCCACTGTAAAGACCCTTGTGATTACATTGGGACCAGTGGGTGATTCAGGATAATCTTAATATCTCAAGGTCATCTGATTAGCAATCTTAACTTCATCTGAAATTCTAATTTCCCTTTGCCATGTGATCTAACATATTCACAGGTTCCAGGTATTAGGACATGGACATTTGCAGCAGGGGAAATTATTATGCCTGCCATACCATTATTAAAGGTAATTCCAAAACTCTCCTTTTAAAAAAATGTTCTAGAAAACATTTAGCAATAAGAGTTATTTCAAAAACTATTTATGTAATTGAAGTATTAACAACAATGATATTAGATATATGTATTAGGCCACAATAACTTGAACTGATACTGGTAAGCCATGTCTATAATCTCAAGAAAAATGTTTTTTAAAACCACCCATAGGAGCTATACAATGGTGGAAAAATAATCAATTTGCTCAAAAGAATTAAGTCAACTTTTGAAGAAAATATAAGAAAACACAAATGCTACAAGGGTGGTATGAACATATTGTTTTTTCTATTATTGAATCTTAAAGCACTTTGCCAATTTGAACTCATTAAGCCTTCTAGGCTGGTGTACCCTGGTTAAACTCCTGCCTGTTGGGTCTCACTCAAAACACCAGGATTTCTACTTCCTGGTGTTAAGCTTCTGATATGGTTTGGATTTGTGTCCCCACCCAAATCTCATGTCAAATTGTCATCCCCAATGTTGTAGGAGAGGCCTGTTTGGAGGTGACTGGATCATGGGGGCAGATTTCCCCCTTGCTGTTCTCATGATAATAAGTCCTCATGAGATCTGGTTGTTTAAAAGTGTATACCTCCCCTTCGCTCTCTTCCTCCTGCTCCAGCTATGTAAGATGTGTCTGCTTCCCCTTTACCTTCTGCCATGATTGACAGTTTCCTGAAGCCTCCATAGCCATGTTTCCTGTGCAGCCTGTGGAACCATGAGCCAATTAAACTTCTTTTCTTTATAAATTACCCAGTCTCGGGTAGTTGTTTACAGCAATGTAAGAACAAACTAATACAGAAAATTTGTACCTAGGAGTAGGGCATTGCTATAAAGATACCTGAAAATGTGGAAGTTACTTTGGAACTGTATAATGGGCAGAGGATGGAAGAGTGTGGAAGGCTCAGAAGAAGACAGGAAGATAAGGGAAAGTTTGGATCTTCCTAAAGACATGTTTAATTGTTGTGACCAAAATGCTGATAGTGATATGGACAATAAAGTCCAGTCTGAGGTAATATCAGATGGAAATGCAAAACTTATTGAGAATTGAAGTAAAGGTCACTCTTGCTATGCTTTAGCAAAGACACTAGCAGCACTGTGCCTCTGCTCTAGAGATCTGTGGAACTTTGAACTTGAGAACAATGATTTAGGGTATTTGGCAGAAGAAATTTCTAAGCAGCAAAGCATTCAAGATGTAGCCTGGCTGATTCTAACAGTGTATGCATGAGCAAAGCGATGTTTTGAAACTGGACGTTCTATTTTAAATGGAAGTAGAACACAAAAGTTTGAAAACTTTGCAACTTAACCATGTGGTAGAAAACAAAAACCCATTTTCTAGGGAGGAATTCAAGCCTGCTGTAGAAATTTGCATAAGTAAAGAGTAGCCAAATGTTAATAGCCAAGAAAATGGGAAAAACGCCTCCAAGGCATTTCAGAGACCTTCCTGGCAGCCCTTCCCATCATAGGCCCAGAGGTCTTGGAGGGAAGAGTGGTTTCATGGCCCAGGCCCAGGGCCCCACTGCCCTGCACAACCTCAGGATACTGCTCCCTGTGTCCAAGTCACTCCAGCTCCAGCAATGGATAAAAGGGCCCCAGATATGTCTCAGGCTGCTGCTCCAGAGAGTGCAAGCCCTAAATCTTGGTACCTCCACACTGTGTTAAGCCTGCAGGTACACAGAGGGTAAGAGTTGACATTTGGGAGTCTCTGTCTAGCTTTCAGAGGTTGTATGAAAACACCTGGATGTCCAGGCAGAAGTGTGCTGCAGGGGCAGAGCCCTCATGGAGAACCTCTACTAGGGCAGTATAGAGGGGAAATGTGGGGTTGGAGCCCCACACAGATCTACCACACATGGTAGTCCTCTTCTCACAGCTACCATGAGAGAGCTACTATGAGAAAAGGGCTACTATCCTTCAGACCCCAGAATGGTAGATCCACTGACAGCTTGCACCATGCACCTGGAAAGGCCACAGGCACTCAATGCTAGCCATGAGTGCAGCCATGGGAGCTGAGCCCTGCAGAGCCACAGCAGTGGAACTGCACAAGGCTTTGGGAGCCCACCCCTTGCATTAGTGTGGCCTGCATATGAGACATGGAGTCAAAGGAGATTATTTGGGAGCTTTAAGATTTAATGACTGCCCTGCTGGGTTTCGGACTTGCACAGGGCCTATAGTCCCTCTTTTTTGACTGATTTCTCCTTTTGGAATGGGTGTACTTACCCAATGCCTGTACCCCCACTGTATCTTGAAAGTAACTTGTTTTTTTTATTTTACAGGCTTATAAGCAGAAGGGACTTGCTTTCTCTCAGATGAGACTTTGGACTGTGGACTTTTGAGTTAGTATAGTGTTGAAATGAGTTAATATTTGGGGGACTGTTGAGAACGGATTATTTTTTTTTCTTGAGACAGACTCTCACTCTGTCATCCAGGCTGGAGTGCAGTGGGGTGATCTTCGCTCACTGCAACTCCTGCCTCCTGGGTTCAAGCAATTCTTCTGTCTCAGCCTCCCAAGTAGCTGGGACTACAGGCACACGCCACCACACCTGGCTAATTTTTGTATGTTTTTAGTAGAGATGGGGTTTTACCATGTTGGCCAGGCTGGTCTCAAACTCCTGACCCCAAGTGATCCACCTGCCTCAGCCTCCCAAAGTGCTATGATTACAGGCATAAGCCACTCCACCCAGCCAATGATTGTACTTTGCAATGTGGGAGGACATAAGATTTGGGAGGGACAGGGGTGGAATGATATGGTTTGGATTTGTGTCCACACCCAAATCTCATGTCAAATTGGCATCCTCAATGTAGTAGGAGAGGCCTGATGAGAGGTAACTGGGTCATGGGGCTGGATTTTCCCCTTGCTTTTCTCATGACAGTGAGTTCTCATGAGACCTGGTTGTTCAAAGGTGTGTAGCACCTCCCACTTCGCTCTCTTCCTCCTGATCCAGCCATGTAAGATGGCACCTTCTTACGTGGCACCTTCTGCCATACTTGAAAGTTTCCTGAGGCCTCCCCAGTCATGCTTCCTGTGCAGCCTGTGGAACCATGAGCCAACTAAACCTCTTTTCTTTATGAATTACCTAGTCTCGGGTATTTCTTTACAGCAGTGCAAGGACAGATTAATACAGCTTCTATTAAATCTGAATCTCCAGTGAGCATTAGAATCATCTGAGATGCTTATTTAAAATGCAGGATCCCAAATGCTACCACCAGAGATTGTGATTCGGTAGGTCTGATGGGGATCTAAGGAATCTATATTTTTAACATGTGTAACAGGATGCTAAAAGGGCAGCATCTCTATGTCAGTGTCAACTGAGGTGTCATATCAAATAAGATCCCACCAGGAAAGAGATGTCACACTGAAGGAGATAACTGAGGGATGTTTCATAAAGGCAGAATTCACAAAAGGTGTAAGTAGGGTATAGGGAAACCACAAGGGGTAATGCAGCACCCCAAAACTAGAAACAAGGCACCTATTAACTTCCCTAGACCTGAAAGGGCAAGGAAAGAGACTAGTTACCAGAATCAGAGAGTACAGGCAGTGGGTGGAGAGAACTGCTTGACAAAAGCTGTGGTGTTCGTCGAGGGAAGCAGGCAGCCCAAGGAAACCCAGAGAGGGAACCCAGGGAAACAATACCCCCACCTTACTCTTCTCCCTTCTTGCTTCTTCTGATACTCTCAATTGACAAATGTCAACAGGAATGTGCTCCCGTAGGAGCACATTGATACGGTCTATATGGCTCAGCCTCTTGGGCTGCACAAGAAGACAGAGAGGACTTACTTGAGAGAGAGTCTGGAGGGACAAAATGAAATGTCCTGCACTGGCACCAATATGACAGATACCAGAGTGAGTGGGAGTCACACCCCTCACTCACTCACTCCTCCCATGTGCAGAATCCACAAAAGAAATTATTCAAACTAGTTCCATCGCATTGGATGCCTCATCTAAACAAGGATATAAAAAAGGGTCAGAGTGTGCAAAGACAGGGGACTCCCATGAGATCATTCACAGAGCCTGAAATGTGTTCCTGGCTATTGAAAGACAGCAGGCTCAACTTACTGCTGAAAAAGTGAACATGCCTGAGGACATATACATATGAAAACTTGCATATATCCCTTACCCCCATACATTCTGGGAGCACAGGCTGAACTCATCGCCACCAGCTTAGTTTAGTCTTTGCTCCCAGAATTTATGGTGGTAATGGATATATGCGTGTTTCCTCTAAACAAGGCAGGTCATATAGGACAGCGAGCAGACCTCAAATTGTTTTAGATTCTGCTGCAGAGAACTTTCTAAAGCAAGAGTCAGTGTGGACTGGACCTCCAAACAAAGCTAGGATAGTGAGAGAAAAAAACAAAGCTGCCCTTAGATTATATCCCACAGGCCAATGTTTAGTCAATGAATCAGTTATACAATATAATGATTCTGATGCTGGTTATCATGAAAAAGTTTTTGTGAAGCATTGCTCTGGGCTATTGAAATCTGCCTAGGTACGGTAAAATGGACAGGAAAAAAAGATAATTTATCATGGTGTTCTTATTCTTGGAATTAGGACTGAATGAAGTAGTTAATGTAAGCTCTAGATTCAGACTGCCTGTAAAGAAACCACAGGTCTGCCATTTATTGCCTGAGTAATCTCCCACAAGTTACCCAGCTTCTTTAAATATCAAGGTCACCATTTGTAAAGTAAGTACAATAATAGCACATACTTCCTAAACAGGATGATCCAGATTCCTTGGCAAAGTGCCTGGTATGCAGTTATATATAATTGTTCCTTTTATAATTCAAAAAAACATTCATACAGTTATTACTACATGTTATATTAAAGTGCTGATATACAAATAACCAAGTTGCACTATAGAACTTAATTCACCTAAACTCATCCTCCTCTAGTTGTCATAGAACATTTGTTTTATGCTAAAACACTCAAAACCTGAATAAAAACTTTTGATACATGAGGTTAACCTACTTACTGGTTTTCCTACAAGGAAAGGTGATAGGTTAGTTAGTTAAGAATTATTTATTAAGATCTCGGCTTGCACTGAAAGCTACATTAAATGCAGTGAGAAGCATTATTATTCAAACTGAATATACACATGCCAGAGGGATGGTGCCCCAATGGCACACTCAGAGGGAATAACATTTATAGAAGATTTCCTGCAGGAATTGAGTTTTGATCAAGATAAGAATAGACAGATTAACTCTTACTAATATAGTTGACGTGGGAGGCTTTTCAGATGGTGGAAAATAGCCTGGCAAGGGTGAAGAACTGGGCATTAAGTAGTCATGAACTGGGTACCACACACAGCAAGACTCCAGAGAGGAGAAGATGGGCTGTGCTGGGACAAGAAGTGAGGTAAAATACGGAGAAAACCTCTCCTATTGTAAATCACCCAACTCCAAGTACATCAAAGTCCATTTATGCACCCCCCAAAAAATGTGTGTAATCAGTAGCAATTACTACAGTTCCCAAAATTAGGGCTTTCTGCATCTCTCTGAAAATTAGGTAAAAATTGTTATTGTAAGAGAAAGTGTAGGTAATCAATGATTATTGCTGTTGAAAAATCAGACATTTCTATAGCTGAGCACAGAACACAAGGAAGAAGTTTGAGAATTAATTATATCTTCTAGGTCTTTTAGAAATTTCTCAGATTCCTATTTTCCTCTCCTGTGAATTAGGTAAAATTTCTAATCCACTCACCTTTCATAGTAGAGTCTAACAACATGCTCACAATAATGATTTTTCAGAAAATGCCCTTGCAGTGTGATAGATTTGGGGGGATAATGAATTCTGCTTCCTTCCTTTCTCACTCACCACAGAGTACTACCAGCATCACTTCTAATCAATTTTAAACTCAAACAAAAATTCATAAGGTTTCAAATGACCAAATGAATATTTCTGCAATGATTAATTTCCTCAAAAAAGAGGCAAAGTTCCAAAAGAAATTACACTTGTTTAATTGACACTAGGTTTGAAGCCAGTGAAAACCCTAAGAAGGCTTTCACCTCCTTTATTCCCAACCTGAATGGTTTTTTGTTTTGTTTCTTTGTTTTGTTTTTGTTTTGTTTTGTTTTGTTTTTTGAGACGGAGTCTCACTCTGTTGCCCAGGCTGGAGTACAGTGGCGCGATCTTGGCTCACTGCAAGCTCCGCCTCCCGGGTTCACGCCATTCTCCTGCCTCAGCCTCCCGATTAGCTGGGACTACAGGCCTGAACGGTTTTTAAGACCAAGAAAGACATGAGGTCAGGGAAAGAAAAGAAAGCAACCCTCTCACACAGGAACACTTAAAAAAGTACTCAACATGGCAAAAAGTAAAACCCCTTTACAATTCCCATGATGGAGAATTAGAACCAATACCTGAATCTTAAGGTAATGGTGCTAAATCCATTTTTTAAAGTAATTCTCATGTTTATAGAGCAGGAGAACAGAAATTGACTCACAGCATATCTGAAATGCATAAAAATGATATATACACTGTCACCATATTTGCAAATTGAGTAATAAGGAAGTAATGTATCCAAAGTGCCAGACAGACACATCCAGGAAAATTAAATGCCCACGTTAAAAGAATTGTACCAGCAAGCCACCTCCAGTGAGGCTAGTTTCTTTTATCACAATCTAGTTTCCATTTAATTAACCTGTGGGTCAGCGCTTCCAGAAAACTGTTGGCAATATCTCAAATAGAGATAAATGTGGAAAAGGGACTGATCAGGGAGGAATTCTGGGAAGATGATGGCAACCACAATATAGTTTTTAAATCTCCCCAATCCACCACCCCCACTACATAAAAACAGACAGAGCAAGCAGAATATCAAAACCAAAAACTCATGGCCAATATTTACACCATGGTAACAATGAGGTGCTAAGATTTCCCCAGCAACCTGAAAATATGAACAGATGGGGATTAAATGACCAGCCAACCACAAGACCTATAGGGTATCAGCTACCATGTAAGAGATAAGAGAAAGAAGCAGAATATCTGAGGGATCTGAGAACAGGAAAACTCAAAAACTATCAACCAGTGGTCCCTGGGAAGCACAGCAGGCCAATGTGAGGACAGTGGCTGAGACTCGAAAGAACTCTGCACATTCCAATTTGTAGTGCAAAACGTTCTCAGTAAGGGAGGGCTGAAGGGGCTGGAGGAGCGTGGCTCTTATAAAATCTCAAAATTGAGGAACAAAAGCTTCCTTCCAGGACAAAACCCATGGAGAAACTGCTGGGTGTGGATGCCAACTTGACCAGGACGGGAGTAACAGGGATAAAATAGAGATTGAGAGAGAAGACTCAGATTAAAAATTGCAAATGGAAGTCCAAATAAATACAGTTAATTTAGTCAAAGTTGTCTAGTCAATTCAGCATGACCATTAAGATGAACACAGTTATCCAAAGCTAATGCTTTTTCCATTTTTATTAAGATGTTTGTTACCATACGGGCAAAGACTGAGAGTACTAAATAAAATAAAGCTTAAGAAATAAATGATGGCACAAGACAGGGATGCCCTCTCTCACCGCTCCTATTCAACATAGTGTTGGAAGTTCTGGCCAGGGCAATCAGGCAGGAGAAGGAAATAAAGGGTATTCAATTAGGAAAAGAGGAAGTCAAATTGTCCCTGTTTGCAGACGACATGATTGTTTATCTAGAAAACCCCATCGTCTCAGCCCAAAATCTCCTTAAGCTGATAAGCAACTTCAGCAAAGTCTCAGGATACAAAATCCATGTACAAAAATCACAAGCATTCTTATACACCAACAACAGACAAACAGAGAGCCAAATCGTGGGTGAACTCCCATTCACAATTGCTTCAAAGAGAATAAAATACCTAGGAATCCAACTTACAAGGGATGTGAAGGACCTCTTCAAGGAGAACTACAAACCACTGCTCAAGGAAATAAAAGAGGACACAAACAAATGGAAGAACATTCCATGCTCATGGGTAGGAAGAATCAATATCGTGAAAATGGCCATACTGCCCAAGGTAATTTACAGATTCAATGCCATCCCCATCAAGCTACCAATGACTTTCTTCACAGAATTGGAAAAAACTACTTTAAAGTTCATATGGAACCAAAAAAGAGCCCGCATCGCCAAGTCAATCCTAAGCCAAAAGAACAAAGCTGGAGGCATCACACTACCTGACTTCCAACTATACTACAAGGCTACAGTAACCAAAACAGCATGGTACTGGTACCAAAACAGAGATATAGATCAATGGAACAGAACAGAGCCCTCAGAAATAATGCCGCATATCTACAACTATCTGATCTTTGACAAACCTGAGAAAAACAAGAAATGGGGAAAGGATTCCCTATTTAATAAATGGTGCTGGGAAAACTGGCTAGCCATATGTAGAAAGCTGAAACTGGATCCCTTCCCTACACCTTATACAAAAATCAATTCAAGATGGATTAAAGATTTAAACGTTAAACCTAAAACCATAAAAACCCTAGAAGAAAACCTAGGCATTACCATTCAGGACATAGGCGTGGGCAAGGACTTCATGTCCAAAACACCAAAAGCAATGGCAACAAAAGACAAAATTGACAAATGGGATCTAATTAAACTAAAGAGCTTCTGCACAGCAAAAGAAACTACCATCAGAGTGAACAGGCAACCTACAAAATGGGAGAAAATTTTCCCAACCTACTCATCTGACAAAGGGCTAATATCCAGAATCTACAATGAACTCAAACAAATTTACAAGAAAAAAACAAACAACCCCATCAAAAAGTGGGCGAAGGACATGAACAGACACTTCTCAAAAGAAGACATTTATGCAGCCAAAAAACACGAAGAAATGCTCATCATCACTGGCCATCAGAGAAATGCAAATCAAAACCACTATGAGATATCATCTCACACCAGTTAGAATGGCAATTATTAAAAAGTCAGGAAACAACAGGTGCTGGAGAGGATGCGGAGAAATAGGAACACTTTTACACTGTTGGTGGGACTGTAAACTAGTTCAACCATTGTGGAAGTCAGTGTGGCGATTCCTCAGGGATCTAGAACTAGAAATACCATTTGACCCAGCCATCCCATTACTGGGTATATACCCAAATGAGTATAAATCATGCTGCTATAAAGACACATGCACACGTATGTTTATTGCGGCACTATTCACAATAGCAAAGACTTGGAACCAACCCAAATGTCCAACAATGATAGACTGGATTAAGAAAATGTGGCACATATACACCATGGAATACTATGCAGCCATAAAAAATGATGAGTTCATATCCTTTGTAGGGACATGGATGAAATTGGAAACCATCATTCTCAGTAAACTATCGCAAGAACAAAAAACCAAACACCGCATATTCTCACTCATAGGTGGGAATTGAACAATGAGATCACATGGACACAGGAAGGGGAATATCACACTCTGGGGACTGTGGTGGGGTCGGGGGAGGGGGGAGGGATAGCATTGGGAGATATACCTAATGCTAGATGACACATTAGTGGGTGCAGCGCACCAGCATGGCACATGTATACATATGTAACTAACCTGCACAATGTGCACATGTACCCTAAAACTTAGAGTATAATAAAAAAAAAAAAAGAAATAAATGAATAGAAGAATATTATACTCAAATATAGTTTTTTCAGTTATAAGATTCTATGAGAAAAACAAATAGTTTGATGTCAGAAGGCTGAATATTACAATTTTTTTTACTTTATTAAAACATTGAGTTTATTTCACATGTACATTTTTGTCTCCCTGCCATTTCCATGTCTGGCCACTGCAACTACTATATCCTAGCACACATTTCATACATATTTAAAACCAAGCAGAGGGTGGAGATCCATCTTTAAAAACCAAATAGGCATTTTGGAAAACACATTCTTAGCAGTGGAACCTGGACATTTATCAAACATGGTAGGGAAAGTTCTCACTCTGTGTTATCAAACAGACATCTAGATATCAACTGTTATAGAAATGAAATAAGATGGGAAATTTTTAACAAATTGTTTAAACTAATTTCTTAAGGAGACTTTCTCCACTGCCAGAGATCTTGAATAGCCTCCTGTTTATTCATCCAGAAGCAATTATTTACATAACTGATGAACTGGGCTCCCACTTTGGGAAGAGAACCACCTTTTCCTATACTTGCCTGCATTTTGGCTTTGATATCTTCTACAGAACTAGGTCCTTTTGGTGTTTTCAGGGTTTTTTTCCTGTTTTTTTTGAATAATTCTTCACCTTTAGATCTTCTTGTTAATGATTTTTAGTCTTTTTCTATTCTGGTTTGATTTTTGGCAGAAGTATCTCATACAGATTTATTCACTAGAGCTTTTTCTTCAGTTTCCTCATTATCAAAATCATTATCATCATCTTCATCAGCAGCAAGTTCTACTTTTCTCTGTGGAACCTTTTATCACCTCCACAGGTGGACTGCCTTCTAGATATACTTAAAAGTTGCATATCCTTCTCCTCTTCATCTTCTGACTCTGCATCTTCCTCCATAGTTACTAAGCGCTGTCCACTAATATGCACTGGCCCTGAACTACACTTCAACCAGAAGACCACAAGTGTTATTTTAAAGTCCTCAAGAGACAAAAGCAAAAATTGACAAAAAGGATCTAATTAAACTAAAGAGCTTTTGCACAGAAAAAGAAACTATCATCAGAGTAAACAGACAACCTACAGAATGAGAGAAAATTTTTGCAACCTATCCATCTGACAAAGATATAATATCCAGAGTCCATAAGAAACTTAAACAAATTTACAAGAGAAAAAAAAACGTTTAAAAAGTGGGCAAAGGACATGATCAGACACTTCTCAAAAGAAGACATTTATGCAGCCAACAAACATAAGAAAAAAAGCTCAACATCACTGATCATTAGAGAAATGCAAATCAAAAACACAATGAGATACCATCTCACACCAGTGAGAATGGTGATTATTAAAAAGTCAAGAAACGACAGATGCTGGCAAGGCTGCTGAAAGATAGGAATGCTTTTACATTGTTGGTGGGAATGTAAATTAGTTCAACCATTGTGGAAGACAGTGTGACAATTCCTCAAAGACCTAGATCCAGAAATACCATTTGATCCAGCAATCCCATTACTGGGTATATACCCAAAGGAATATAAATCATTCTATTATAAAGATGCATGCATGTGTATGTTCACTGCAACATTATTCACAATAGCAAAGACATGGAATCAACCCAAATGTCCACGAATGATAGACTGGAGAAAGAAAATGTGGTAAATATACACCATGGAATACTATGCAGCCATAGAAAGGAATGAGATCATGTCCTTTGGAGGGACATGGATCAAGCTGGAGCCATCATTCTCAGCAAACTAACGTAGGAACAGAAAACCAAACACTACATGTTCTCACTCATAAGTGGGAGCTGAGCAATGATAACACATGGACACAGGGAGGGGAACAACACACACTGGGGCCTGTTGGGGGTGGAGGTGGCAGGGGGAGGGACAGCATCAGGAAAAATAGCTAAGGCATATTGGGCTCAAAACTGAGGTGATGGGTATATAGGTACAGCAAATCGCCATGGCACACATTTCCCTGTGTAACAAAACTACACGTCCTGCACATGTACCCCGGAACTTAAAATAAAAATTTTTTAAAGCCCTTAAGGAACCCATTGGCTGTGAAGATATTTTCAAAGTTGGCTGTGTTATTTTAATTAACCTGCCTTCATCATTTGTTGCCTCTGCTTCAACAATGTACAATTCATCCTTTGCACCAGTCCCTCAACTGACTATTCTTTTTTTTTTTGAATCCAAATATTTGTTTATTGGATTAAATTTGATATTAATTTACAAATTTGTGAATATGTGAAATATCCAGTTTTTAAAGTTTTATTTTATTTGGAATTTTCACATAATAATTGTACATATTTATAGGATACAGTGTGATGTTTCAATGCATGGTACATTGTATAATGATCAAACCAAAGTAATTAGTGTATCTTCTACTTTAAACATTTATTGTTTCTTTGTGGTGATAACATTAAAATCCTTTCTTCTAGCTACTTTGAAATACACAATACATTACTGTTAGCTATAGTCTATGTAACTAACCTCCACCTTCTGCACATGTATCCTAGAACTTAAAGTAAAAAATAATAAAAATTTTTAAAATGAACAATAAAAAAGTAATCTGATTATTCATGAAAAAAAAATAGAAAGTAGTATAATGGTTACCAGAGGCTGGGGAGGGGAGAGCATGGGGGGATAGGGAGAGATTGGTCAAAGGGTACAAAGTTACAGTTAGGAACAATAATTTCTGGTATTCTAAACTGACTATTCTTAAAGATAACTGGTGCTCATTTTCATCATTACCCACTTTAACATACTAATCTTTGTGGGCCTTTAGCTCATGACAAAAAATGATAGTTCTAGGGCCTCAGGGGGCTCATGGTCATGTCCATCAGTCTTCACTTGGTGGTAGCATATACTCAGGTGGGAGAGAAGCCAGATGGAGATAAATATCAACTACTGCTCCAGAGAACAGCCACGCAGGATGGAATCACACCAGGACTACTACAAGATATTTAATGCAACTGACTTTCTACCTTTACAGTATAACATATAATGGTGCTATGGTCTGAATGTTTGTCCTTCAAAACTCATGTTAAAATTTGGCTGCCATTGTGGTAATGTTAGGAAATGGGACCTTTGGGAAGTGATAGGGCCAGGAAGGCTCTGCTCTCATGGGTAAGATTAATGCCATTATAAAAAGGCAAAAACAAATTTGGCCCCCTTTTTGTCTCTACATCCTTCCACCTTTTGCCATGTGATAATGCAGCAAGAAGGCCCTCACCAAACACCAGTGTCTTGATCTTGGACTTCCCATCCTCCAGAACTGTGAAAAAATAAATTTCTATTCATTATAAATTAGTCTGTGGTATTCTGTTATTGCAGCACAAACAGACTAAGATAAATGGCAACTAACACTAATTGAGAGTTCAATCTGTATCAGGCTCTGTTCATTACTTCATATGAATGATCTCATTTAATCCTCATACCATCATTATCCCCATTTTAAAGATGAGGAAACTGAAACTAAAAGAAGTAACTATTCTAAGGCAACACATCTAATAAACGTCAGAGCCAGATTCAAATCTGGATCTGTTTCCAAAACTCATTCATTTATTATTTTCAATAAAAACTCACATAGTAAAACAACATGATACTGAAAACTAAACCTGGTATTAACAAACAATATATCCCAAATGGCTAAACTTTACATTTCACTGACTCTCTTAATAGTTTCTATCTGAAAGACATGGTTAAACAAACAAAATTCCTTGAAGTAAATATGTAGACTGGTCCCTTAAGATAGTTGATAACAAAGGTCTTCTTCATTCATGTCTCCATAGTTCTTTTGTGGCAGGAGGGGGACTATTTATCACTGCAGAGATATGATACCTCTGCTATATGTATCCAGATTCTATTTAACTTTCAAATCTCAGTTCATTCCCTTCTTTCATGTATCTTTCTCCTATCATTCCGGAAATTACTTCTACTTAATTCCAACAGCTACGCTTACCATATCTAACACATGACTTAGCATATAATTACTCCTCAATTATAATAACAGTGTTTGGAATAACAGGGGCCAAATGTATTTTCATGCTTGAAACAACAAAACAACAAAATATATGAAACAATGATTTTCAAGACAGTGGAGAGCAGGTGATGATCCTTGAGAGACTACAAATGAGTAAGGGGAGACCTATCATTGTGCCAGTTTACTGCCTTGAGAGTTTCTGGACACTGGCCCAGGGAAAAGGAATCCAGTGCAGCCCAGCCAACTCACTGAGCTGAGAAGACAGAGCTGAGGCTGGGGAGACCAAGGCAGCTACAGTTTGCACAATAGAGTTCCAAAGAGGATAAACTTTCATAGAGAGAAGACTCCAAAGATCTGCAGAGACTCTCTCCAAAAAAAATTGAACAAGGTACTGATTTGCACATGAATGTACTTTTGCTGCTTTTTTTTTTTTTTTTTTTTGAGATGGAGTCTTGCTCTGTTGCCCAGACTGGAGTGCAGTGGCATGATCTCGGCTCACCACAACCTCCGCCTTCTGGGTTCAGGCGATTCTCCTGCCTCAGTCTCTCAAGTGGCTGGGACTACAGGTGTGTGCCACCATGCCCGGCTAATTTTTGTATTATCAGTAGAGATGGGGCTTCACTATGTTGGCCAGGCTGGTCTCGAACTCCTGACCTCGTGATCTGCCCACCTCGGCCTCCCAAAGTGCTGGGATTACAGGCGTGAGCCACCATGTGCAGCCTTAATTCTTATTTAAAAAATCAACTTTTATTATTTAGAGCAATTTTAAGTTTACAGTAAAACTGAGTAGAAAGTACAGAAAGTTCCACAGACAACTGATTTTTTAGAGAGATACAAAGATAATTTAGTGGGCAAAGGATCATCTTTTCAACAAATGGTGCTGTAATTGGATTGCAATACATATAAAGAAGCAAGAAGGAAGAAGGAGGAGGAGGAGAAGGAGGAGAAAGAAGACAGAAGAAGAAAGGGAAGGAGGAGGAGAAAGAAGAGAAAGAAGACAGAAGAAGAATGAGAAGGAGGAAATGAAGGAAGAGAAGAAAAAGGAAGAAAAGAAGGAAGAAAAGGAGAAGGAGGAGGGAGAAGAAGGAAGGAGACAAATTAAGAGGAGGAGGAAGAACAAAAAGGAGGAGGAGGAGTTGAAGGAGGAGAAGTAGTAGTAGTGATCGTCGTCTGGTTCATACCTCAAATAACATGTAATGATTCACTCAAAATGGATCATTGACCTAAATGTAAAATGTAAAACTGAGACATTTTTACAAGAAAATACATGAGAAAATCTTTGAGACCTTGGGTTAAATAATAATTTCTTAGATATCACATAAAACACATGTTCCATAAAAGAAAAAATGATAAATTTAACCAATCAAAACTTAGAACTTCTAGACTCAGTTAAGAGAATGCATTAAGAAAAACCACAGACTGGGGAAAAAATACTTGCAAATCCTTTATGTGATAAGGTATTTGTATTCAGGTTTTTGTTTTGTTTTGTTTTGAGACAGAGTCTCGCTCTGTCGCCAGGCTGGAGTGCAGTGGTGCGATCTCAGCTCACCGAAACCTTCGCCTCCCAGGTTCAAGCAATCCCTCTGCCTCAGCCTCCTGAGTAGCTGGGACTACAGGCACGCACCACCAGACCCAGCTAATTTTTTTGTATTTTTAGTAGAGACAGGGTTTCACCATGTTGGCCAGGATGGTCTCGATCTCTTTACCTCATGATCTGCATGCCTCAACCTCCCAAAGTGCTGGGATTACAGGTGTGAGCCACCGTGCCCGGCCATATGTTTTTAACTCTCTAAATAATAATCAGGGAAAGAATTTGGCAAATGATTTGAATAGGCACTTCACCAAAGAAATGGTGGATGACAAACAAGCTCATGACAGGATGCTCAACATCATTAGTCCTTAGGGGAATACAAATTAAAGTCACAATGAGATATCTCTCCACACCTATTAGAATGGCTAAAATTTTAAAATCTGACCATCCCAAGTGCTAGTGAGGATGTGAAGGAACTGGAATGCTCATACACTGCTAATGGGAATATATAATGAACCTACCACTTTGAAAAACAATTTGATGGTTTCTTAAATAGCAAACATATACCTACCACATGAGCTGGCCATTCCACTTTTAGGTATTACCCAAGATAAATGAAAGTATATGTCCATTTGTACATGAATATTCACAGCAACTTTATTTGTAAGAGCCAAAACTATACATAATCCAATGTTCATCAATAGGTGAATGGATAAGCCAATTATGGCACATTCACATAATAAAATACTCTCAGCAAAATAAAGAATGAACATTTATATACATTACAACATGGGTGAATGATAAATAATGATGGGAAGAAACCAGACAAAAATGATTATAAATGCATGGTTTCATTGATAAAATTCTGGAAAATATGAACTAACTCCTAGTGACAGAGGACAAATCAGTGACTTCCTGGTGGTAGAAGTGAGGTACCCATGGAAAGATTATAACAGAGCCAACAAAACTTCTGAGAGTGATGGGCAAGTTCATTATCTTGATTGTGGTAACAGATTCACATGTATATGCCTATGTCAAAATCTGTCAAGTTGTACACTTTATAGCAATTTTACACTTTTATAGCAATTTATTGTATGTCAATTATACTCCAATAAAGCTTTTTAAAAATAATGAGTGTTGATGTTTAAACAAACTAAATTACAAACTAAGAAGGATAAGCCAGGACTGTCATAAATTAATTTTTTCCTACCACAATTATGAACAAACAGTACATACTTATATAGTAGAGTGAATACATGGGTTTAATTTAAGGGATTTTTTTGCTATTTTTCCAATAGATATATTTGGAAGACACTATGTCTTCATTTTTCTAAAATTTTCTTCATATTCTAAATAAGATACAAGTAATCTTATTAATTTTTAAAAGGCAATACCAAAATAGATTTCAAGTGTTTCCAAGAGACAGTCAAACCAGGACAAAAATAATGGGGAAAATAAAATTAGCAAGCTAATTTGCAAGAATAAGCTAAGTAGTATTTCAAATAATCCTAAAGGGAAATAAAGCTTTATCAGATGAAATTTTGCTAAGCATAATTTAGAAGGATGGTTCATATTTTATCTCAAAGTTTTTACCTAGGAGTCTCAAGATTTATTTTTCTAAATCTTATCCTTTCCCAAAATTTCTTAAATCATTAGTTGACAGTGAACCACTTTAAATACTGGTTCCAAGATAATGAGGTAATTGTTTGTATTTGAAATGTACCTCAAAGTCAGTCAGAATATTAAGAAGGCTTTCAAAAGACTCAAATGTCAGAAATAATTCAGAATTTAAAAAAGAATTCAAACAGGATTTACAGCCCTCAAAAGGAGGGTTTTTACAAGCTGGTGACACTTCATTACTATATTATGAAGACTCATAATACAGTAACTCACTTTTCAAATTGAACCCTAGAGTTTTACACATTTAACTCTAGTTGGGATCTTCCAGGTTTGAAGGCAAGTTTGCCAGCCTGGGGTAGTGGGGAAAGCACATGGATTCTTGCCCTTATCAGCCATTACAAGCTGTAGGTTAGGCACTCCATAATATTCATTGAAAATGAGGGGCTTGGAATAGAAATTGTCTTATGTCGCCATCATTTTGTGAGTATGTCTAAAAAGACAGTATCATTTCAGCACCATGGACAGTCACCATGGGTAGGAAAGGACACTGAACTTGAGGAGAAAAGCTAGTGGGGTTGTTTTAAAAGTTATTGTAAAAAAAAAAAAGTTCATGGATAGTTTTATCTTTTGTTTTGTTTTTTGAGACAGGGTCTAACTCTGTCACTCAAGTGGAATGCAGTGGCACCATCTCGGCTCACTGAAACTTTGCCTCCCAGGCTCCAGTGATCCTCCCACCTCAGCCTCCAGAGTAGTTAGGACTACAGGCACACACCACCATGACCAGCAATTTTTTTGTATTTTCTGTAGAGATGGGGTTTCACCACGTTGCCCAGTCCGGTCTCAAACTCCTGGACTCAAGTGGCTCCCCCGCCTGGGCCTCCCAAAGCGCTGGGATTACAGGCACGAGCCACCACACCCAGCCGATAGTTTTAATATTTCAAGTTAATGTGATGTTTATGGTAATAAGGAAATTTTTCCATTTTCATTGTTTGCAACATTTTTCAAAATGATCGACATCTTGGAATAAAACAGAAACTATTTGCCTTGAGAAGAAAACCTCCTGTATTTACTATCTAACTGTTCCAATAAACGGTGATTGAAGATTTGTACAGAAAATGACTCAGGAAATAAAATAAACATACAAAAAGTTACCCAAAAAAGTGGAAAATGCATTAAAATTTATGCTTCTGTATTCTTCAACTGAATACTAGTAACTTGAAAAGCATGAACAGTTTTAACTGTATCAACTTAAGTCAGATATACACAAATATTTTTAATCAATTTAAACAACGTTAAAGTTGCTAACACAATATATCTTAGAATTTACAATCAATGTCCCCTAAAATATTTAAGGGCCCAGTGCTTCCCCAGAGAAGGGAAAATCACATTAGGGATACTAACATTCCTCCCTATCTACCCTCAATATTTAAAGCAAATGTAATCAGGTTAATATGAGAGTCAAATCTGAAAGCCTCCAAGGCCAAAGAGAAAAAGAGCCTATTAAAAAAAAAAAAAAAATAGCTTCTTGGTGGCTCACACCTGTAATCCCAGCACTTTGGGAGGCTGAGGCAGGCAGATCACTCGAGGTCAGGAGTTCAAGACCAGCTCGGTCAACATGGTGAAACCCTGTCTCTGCTAAAATTTAGCCCAGAGTGGTGGTGTGTGCCTGTAATCTCAGCTACTTGCAAGGCTTAGGCAGGAGAATCACTGGAACCCAAGAGGCAGAGGTTGCAGTGAGCTGAGATCATGCACTGTACTCCAGCCTGAGTGACAGAGAAAGACTGTCTCAAAATTAAAATTATAATTTAAATTTTAAAAAGCATCTTATATCCTTAAGTATACACTCATGGAATAGAATATCATTCAAGTTTTCTTAGTGATGATGAAAGAGATGGTGGAAGGGGAAGACCTGTGGAAAAAAGATGGTATAGTTTTACGCATTTATTCATTCATATATTCATTTTACAAGCTTGCTAACTGGAAAACACTGCTATGTGCTGGGCACCCAACAATGAAGAAACAGATATAGTTATCACTCTCTAACATTGAGACTCTTGCTGGGATAACTTCACATTTGTTGAAGTGTGGAAGGAAGAGAGTGAATCTAGGGATAGCAAGAAAGCTTGCTAGACCTTTTCTGAGAAAGAGCTTTCTACTCTTACAAGACAGAAAGGAAAGAGAAAGGAGGGAGCCAAGATGGCCAAATAGGAACAGCTCCGGTCTACAGCTCCCAGCGTGAGCGATGCAGAAGACGGGTGATTTCTGCATTTCTGTCTGAGGTACCAGGTTCATCTCACTAGGGAGTGCCAGACAGTGGGCATGGGACAGTGGGTGCAGCGCACTGTGCGCGAGCCGAAGCAGGGCGAGGCATGCCTCACTTGGGAAGTGCAAGGGGTCAGGGAGTTCCCTTTCCTAGTCAAAGAAAGGGGTGACACACGGCACCTGGAAAATCAGGTCACTCCCACCCCAATACTGTGCTTTTCCAACGGGCTTAAAAAATGGCGCACCAGGAGATTATATCCCGCACCTGGCTCAGAGGGTCCTATGCCCACGGAGTCTCGCTGATTGCTAGCACAGCAGTCTGAGATCAAACTGCAAGGCTGCAGTGAGGCTGGGGGAGAGGTGCCCGCCATTGCCCAGGCTTGCTTAGGTAAACAAAGCAGCTAGGAAGTTCCAACTGGATGGAGCCCACCACAGCTAAAGGAGGCCTTCCTGCCTCTGTAGGCTCCACCTCTGGGGGCAGGGCACAGACAAACAAAAAGACAGCAGTAACCTCTGCAGACTTAAATGTCCCTGTCTGACAGCTTTGAAGAGAGCAGTGGTTCTCCCAGCACATATCTGGAGATCTGAGAACAGGCAGACTGCCTCCTCAAGTGGATCCCTGACCCCTGACCCCCGAGCAGCCTAACTGGGAGGCACCCCCCAGTAGGGGCAGACTGACACCTCACACAGCCAGGTACTCCTCTGGGACAAAATTTCCAGAGGAACGATCAGACATCAGCATCTGCAGTTCACGAAAATGCGCTGTTCTGCAGCCACCACTGCTGGTATCCAGGCAAACAGGGTCTGGAGTGGACCTCTAGCAAACTCCAACAGTACTGCAGCTGAAGGTCCTCTCTGTTAGAAGGAAAACTAACAAACAGAAAGGACATCAACACCAAAAACCCATCTGTACATCACCATCATTAAAGACCAAAAGTAGATAAAACCACAAAGATGGGGAAAAAACAGAGCAGAAAAACTGGAAACTCTAAAAAGCAGAGCGCCTCTCCTCCTCCAAAGGAACGCAGCTCCTCACCAGCAACGGAACAAAGCTGGACGGAGAATGACTTTGACGAGTTGAGAGAAGAAGACTTCAGACGATCAAACTACTCCGAGCTACAGGAGGAAATTCAAACCAAAGGCAAAGAAGTTGAAAACTTTGAAAAAAATTTAGACGAATGGCTAACTAGAATAACCAATACAGAGACGTGCTTAAAGGAGCTGATGGAGCTGAAAGCCAAGGCTCGAGAACTACGTGAAGAATGCAGAAGCCTCAGGAACCGATGCGATCAACTGGAAGAAAGGGTATCACTGATGGAAGATGAAATGAATGAAATGAAGTGACAAGGGAAGTTTAGAGAAAAAAGAATAAAAAGAAACAAACAAAGCCTCCAAGAAATATGGGACTATGTGAAAAGACCAAATCTACGTCTGATTGTTATACCTGAAAGTGACGGGGAGAATGGAACCAAGTTGGAAGACACTCTGCAGGATATTATCCAGGAGAACTTCCCCAATCTAGCAAGGCAGGCCAACATTCAGATTCAGGAAATACAGAGAATGCCACAAAGATACTTCTCGAGAAGAGCAACTCCAAGACACACAATTGTCAGATTCACCAAAGTTGAAATGTAGGAAAAAATGTTAAGGACAGCCAGAGAGAAAGGTCGGGTTACCCACAAAGGGAAGCCCATCAGACTAACAGCGGATCTCTCAACAGAAACTCTACAAGCCAGAAGAGAGTGGGGGCCAATATTCAACATTCTTAAAGAAAAGAATTTTCAACCCAGAATTTCGTATCCAGCCAAACTAAGCTTCATAAGTGAAGGAGAAATAAAATCCTTTACAGACAAGCAAATGCTGAGAGATTTTGTCACCACAAGGCCTGCCCTACAAGAGCTCCTGAAGGAAGCGCTAAACAAGGAAAGGAACAACCAGTACCAGCCACTGCTAAAACATGCCAAATTGTAAAGACCATTGATGGTAGGAAGAAACTGTATCAACTAACGAGCAAAATAACCAGCTAACATCATAATGACAGGATCAGATTCACACATAACAATATTAACTTTAAATGTAAATGGACTAAATGCTCCAATTAAAAGACACAGACTGGCAAATTGGATAAAGAGTCAAGACCCATCAGTGTGCTGTATTCAGGAAACCCATCTCACGTGCAGAGACACACATAGGCTCAAAATAAAAGGATGGAAGAAGATCTACCAAGCAAATGGAAAACAAAAAAAGGCAGGGGTTGCAATCCTACTCTCTGATAAAACAGACTTTAAACCAACAAAGATCAAAAGAGACAAAGAAGGCCATTACATAATGCTAAAGGGATCAATTCAACAAGAAGAGCTAACTATCCTAAATATATATGCACCCAATACGGGAGCACCCAGATTCATAAAGCAAGTCCTTAGGGACCTACAAAGAGACTTAGACTCCCACACAATAATAATGGGAGACTTGAACACCCCACTGTCAACATTAGACAGATCAACGAGACAGAAAGCTAACAAGGATACCCAGGAATTGAACTCAGCTCTGCACCAAGTGGACCTAATAGACATCTACAGGACTCTCCACCCCAAATCAACAGAATATACATTTTTTTCAGCACCACACCACACCTATTCCAAAATTGACCACATACTTGGAAGTAAAGCTCTCCTCAACAAATATAAAAGATCAGAAATTATAACAAACTGTCTCTCAGACCACAATGAAATACTAGCAAACCGAATCCAGCAGCACATCAAAAAGCTTATCCACCATGATCAAGTGGGCTTCATCCCTGGGATGCAAGGCTGGTTCAATATACACAAATCAATAAATGTAATCCAGCATATAAACGGAACCAAAGACAAAAACCACATGATTATCTCAATAGATGCAGAAAAGGCCTTTGACAAAATTCAACAACCTTTCATGCTAAAATCTCTCAATTAATTAGGTATTGATTGGACATATCTCAAAATAATAAGAGCTATCTATGACAAACCCACAGCCAATATCATACTGAATGGGCAAAAACTGGAAGCACTCCCTTTGAAAACTGGCACAAGACAGGGATGCCCTCTCTCACCACTCCTATTCAACATAGTGTTGGAAGTTCTGGCCAGGGCAATCAGGCAGGAGAAGGAAATAAAGGGTATTCATTTAGGAAAAGAGGAAGTCAAATTGTCCCTGTTTGCAGATGACATGATTGTATATCTAGAAAACCCCATTGTCTCAGCCCAAAATCTCCTTAAGCTGATAAGAAACTTCAACAAAGTCTCAGGATACAAAATCAATGTACAAAAATCACAAGCATTCTTATACACCAATAACAGACAAACAGAGAGCCAAATCATGAGTGAACTCCCATTCACAATTGCTTCAAATAGAATAAAATACCTAGGAATACAACTTACAAGGGACATGAAGGACCTCTTCAAGGAGAACTACAAACCACTGCTCAATGAAATAAAAGAGGATACAAACAAATGGAAGAACATTCCATGTTCATGGGTAGGAAGAATCAATCTCATGAAAATGGCCATACTGCCCAAGGCAATTTATAGATTCAATGCCATCCCCATCAAGCTACCAATCACTTTCTTCACAGAATTGGAAAAAACTACTTTAAAGTTCATATGGAACCAAAAAAGAGCCCGCATCACCAAGTCAATCCTAAGCCAAAAGAACAAAGCTGGAGGCATCACGCTACCTGACTTCAAACTATACTACAAGGCTACAGTAACCAAAACAGCATGGTACCGGTACCAAAACAGAGATATAGATCAATGGAACACAACAGAGCCCTCAGAAATAACGCCTCATATCTACAACTATCTGATCTTTGACAAACCTGAGAAAAACAAGCAATGGGGAAAGGATTCCCTATTTAATAAATGGTGCTGGGAAAACTGGCTAGCCATATGTAGAAAGCTGAAACTGGATCCCTTCCTTACACCTTATACAAAAATTAATTCAAGATGGATTAAAGACTTAAACGTTAGACCTAAAACCATAAAAACCCTAGAAGAAAACCTAGGCAATACCATTCAGGACATAGGCATGGGCAAGGACTTCATGTCTAAAACACCAAAAGCAATGGCAACAAAAGACAAAATTGACAAATGGGATCTAATTAAACTCAAGAGCTTCTGCACAGCAAAAGAAACTACCATCAGAGTGAACAGGCAACCTACAAAATGGGAGAAAATTTTCACAACCTACTCATCTGACAAAGGGCTAATATCCAGAATCTACAATGAACTCAAACAAATTTACAAGAAAAAAACAAACAACCCCATCAAAAAGTGGGTGAAGGACATGAACAGACACTTACTTCCCAAAAGAAGACATTTATGCAGCCAAAAAACACATGGAAAAATGCTCATCATCACTGGCCATCAGAGAAATGCAAATCAAAACCACAATGAGATACCATCTCACACCAGTTAGAATGGCAATCATTAAAAAGTCAGGAAACAACAGGTGCTGGAGAGGATGTGGAGAAATAGGAACACTTTTACACTGTTGGTGGGACTGTAAACTAGTTCAACCATTGTGGAAGTCAGTGTGGCGATTCCTCAGGGATCTAGAACTAGAAATACCATTTGACCCAGCCATCCCATTACTGGGTATATACTCAAAGGAATATAAATCATGCTGCTATAAAGACACATGCACACGTATGTTTATTGCGGCACTATTCACAATAGCAAAGACTTGGAACCAACCCAAATGTCCAACAATGATAGACTGGATTAAGAAAATGTGGCACATATATACCATGGAATACTATGCAGCCATAAAAAAGGATGAGTTCATGTCCTTTGTAGGGACATGGATGAAACTGGAAATCACCATTCTCAGTATACTATCGCAAGAACAAAAAACCAAACACCACATATTCTCACTCATAGGTGGGAATTGAACAATGAGAACACCTGGACACAGGAAGGGGAACATCACACTCTGGGGACTGTTGTGGGTTGGGGGGAGGGGGGATGGATAGCTTTGGGAGATATACCTAATGCTAAATGACAAGTTAATGGGTGCAGCACACCAGCATGGCACATGTATACATATGTAACTAACCTGCACATTGTGCACATGTACCCTAAAACTTAAAGTATAATAATAATTTTAAAAAAAAAGAAAGAGAAATAAAGAGAAAGAGATAGCTGTGCATTGTCTCAAGTGGGAGTTTTTCCTGGCTGTTATCATTTTAGAAGGAAGAAAGGAAGAAGAAAAAGAGACAAACATATGCATATAGTGACTTTACCTACTCTCATATATGGCCCATCTGAGACCTGCAACCTGTTAGGTCTGTATTCTTCCACCTCGGAGTCCAATGGGGAAGTTAACTAATTTGATAAGATGAAAGGGCATTGGGCACCCTCCCTAGAGGATAATGGTATAATTCTCTATTCAACTTTCTTTTTAAAGGAAATGTCTTGATTACAATATAATTTTTACATATGGGTAAACATATATTTGTCCATTATCTTTTCAACAGATCTTTCTCAGAAAGCTTTACCACTCAAAAAATAATCAAGCCAGTCTTGATATTAAAAAGGCAAGCACCCATATATGATGTTTTAAAGGGAATGGAATATATTTGCATCGCACAGAAGCAAATTTTAGAGTTTAAAATACTAACATATGCATTTAATATAGTAATGTGTACTCTGTATGTTACTATAGTAATTCTGTACTAGAAATCAGAATTAGAGCAAAGATCATCTTAGTACATTATAAAAATGCAGGAAAACTAACACAACTAGCTGGTGTGAGTGACTGTTGTTATGTATCAGTATAAAAGTATAAAAACTAAAGCCAATAAACAGATTAATTTTCAAGGTTTTATTCACAAGAAAAGTGATGATGTTTCATAGTAAAATTGATTTAAACTATCATGTTATTGATTTGTTTACCTAAACAGTTTCACTTTTTAATTTATTAAAGAGCTAATATTGAATTGATAATCCAATTGGGTTTTCTAGATGCAAACCGAAATAGAAAAAATTATCACCACACTCTCTCACACAATATATAGCAAAATAATAGTTCCAATGCATAAGCCATCTAGCCTAGCAACTATGAACTGGATAAAACACAGATTAGACCTAACCTCCTTTCTTTCTTTCTTTCTTTCTTTCTTTTCTTTTTTTTTTTTTTTTTTTTTTTTTTTTTTTTTTTTTGACACAGGGTCTCTCTCACCCTGTTGCCCAGGCTGCAGTGCAGTGGTGCAGTGGCTCACTGCAGCCTCAAGCAATCCTATCACCTCAGCCATCTGAGCAGCTGGGACTACAGGCATGCACCACCAGACCCAGCTAATTTTTTTTTTTACTATTTTTTTTTGGTAGAGATAGGGTCTCACTACCTTGCCCAGAGTGGTCTCAAACTCCTGGACTCAAGCAATCCTCCTACCTTAGCCTCCTCAAGTGTTAAGATTAGAGACATGAGCCACCATACCCAGCCCAAACTCCCTTTCTTATTCCTGAAATACTAAATGAACACCTACTGCGGTTTCATTTATTTGTCAAATATTACTGAACAATTATCATTTTCCCTGCCCACATGTAAGAGGTAGAAGAGACTGTTTAAAAAATGTAAGTTTCTACCCTCGACTTCAGGGCCCTACCCTTTAATTGAAGGCATTATCTAGTAGGTCCTAACAGTTGGCTTAAACAGAAAATTTTACCCTGTTTATTTTTCAATTTGGGTATCATCTCTACCCTATCTCCGTTGCATTAGGCTATTATTATGTTAAGGGCAGAAACACTGACACTTTCTGTGTAACAACCACTCCAATTCTCAGGGTGCACATACCACATACACAATAGAAAATAAAATATTTTTCTGATATGAAACAGTGAAGACAGACCAATTCCCTGGAAACTCTTTTAATAATAAAATCTATTTGGGGACTGGGATTCTTTTCTAAATGTTTTTATAATTTATCACTCAGCACAAGTATAAGTTACATTTTCTAAACCAAAAAGCACTATGCAGCAAAAAATTCTCTTATGAATAAACAAATTTAAAAACAGTGTTAATATCATCATAACATTGTTTTGTTTGGCTGACGTGACAGGTGATTTATTGTAAACTGAAATTCCTCACTTGCACCTAATTCCCCTTTTAAAAATAAATCGAAACCCAAAACCACTAGCTTTAGAATCATGAGATGAGATTTAAGACCCAGCTTTGCCACATGTTAGTTGCTATGGTCTGAATATTTAAGTCCTTCCGAAATTCATATGTTAAAATCCTCAACCCCAAGGTGATTGAGTTAGAAATTGGGACTTTGAGAGGTGATTAGGTCATGGGCTCAGAGCTCTCAGGAGTGGCATTTGTGCTCTTATAAGAGGCCTAAGAGAGTCTCCTTACCTTTTCCATCAAGTGAGGTTAAACTGAAAGACAGCTTCTGTGAGGACACACAGAATCTGCCTGGCACCTTGATTTTGGACAACCTCCAGAGCTAGGAAAAGTAAATTTCTGTTAATTATAATGCTCAGTTTATGGTATTTTGTGGTAGCAGCCCAAATGAACCAATACAGTAGTTGTCTGACCTTGGGCAACTCAGATCTAACTTCTTGGGGATTCAAATTCCTCACTTCCAAGTTAAGAAGTAGAGATGCAATGCATTTTGTGCTCCACTACATCTGTAAACACTCTACTGTTTTAAGACTGACATTTACAGAAGCTCTAATAATATCCTCATTCAACCCAAATCACTTTTCATTTAACTACAAATTGCAACAAAAACAAGTTACATCTTTATATATCATTCTTGTGATTTCATGTTGTGAATTTATCCACTTTTACATGCATGTATAATGAAGCACACAGCATTTTAATGAATTGACAGAATTGTTTACAAACCAGTCATTCAGATGGTCACTTTTATCTTTCAAGCAGAAGCTGCTACTGTTCCTCTATCATTCAGGGTTCTAGTAGGAAATACATGTCATATTCAAAAAAGGTAACTTAAGGAAAATTCAATAAAATTTTGACTATTTACAAAGATGTAGAAAAGATGTAGGAAAACCACAAGGCATTGTGCAATATTTTGAGGCAAGTAACATGCCCAATTACCAACCCTAAAGTAGCAAGAGAAGCGACAATGACGGGAAACTGGAGACAGGCTGTGTGGTGACGACCACCTTACAGGAGCTGTGATCTTAGGTAGAGGGACAGAGTCAGCCCAAGGAGGTCTCACATGTAGGGAGCAGTGTTAACAAATGTCTGCCCGCCCAATTTTCACTGCCTCCAGTCTCTCTCAACAATACTCCTCATTGGCCAAACCCAGTTAGAAACTGAGGCCAAGAGAACTCTATTGCTGTATTTCATGCAGGTTGGCTTCCTGGAACTTGTGATGGGGAAGGTCAAGAACTGCAGGGGTAAAGGAAAGACCTAACACACTCCTCTTCCCTCTACTTATAAATGGGCTAGATTCTCAAAGAGCTTCTTTAATGATGTCATGAGTGCAAACTACTTGTCCAGTGAGCTCATGTAAAGTGCTAGATCCCTTCCAAATTCTAACTATGTATTTAATGTTCAAATAATCTTTATTCTGACACCAAGAGCCTATTAGAACCCTCTAATGTAGTCATCTGGGATAATTTTAAATCTCTACAGGTTTGCACAAAGAATGTAAGCAAACCAATTGCTTAAGTTGGAAGAAATGTCAATGTTATAGTAAAGATTGATTTTCTATACACTCTCTCTAATTAGTTGCTTTGGACATCAATGGGTTGCACAAAATGAGCTATAATGATTTCTCTGATTAAGTAGCTCCAGCAACCCAGAAATGTTGGAGCACAGCATTATTAACTCTTTGATGGGCTATCCATGAAGAGCCATGCCAAGCTGTAAAAAATATCAAAATGCTCTAGGGGATAGCAGAATAAAAGTGAACAACAGGAGATGGGAGTTCAAAAGGAGGTTTCATTTAAACCTCTAGGAAAGACAAGGAGCATATCCATCAATATAGAAAGAAAAATATTGCTAACTGAATATTTGCTACCATGCGCCAGGCACTGAGTGAAAGCTAAGTGTTTTCACATCATATCTCATTTAATTTGCAGCACAGTGCAGTGAGATATTTTCATTTAGAGCATTTTACATACGAGGAAAGTAATTTGCCTAAGGCACTACAAAACGAAATCAGAAAATCCAATAAAGATCCATTATTTGAAAAAGGTTTTACAACCAGATACAACCTCAGACATAATCTCAATTTTTACCATTTTTAATCATTATTTGTGTCTTAGAAAGTAGCAAGATACAAATGATAATGTATTCTGCCTACTTATAGCACGAATCTGGAAAAGCATTATTTCTTCTATAATAAACTCCTTTTGAAGAAATATTTTAAGTGGTGTCACAGCACTTCGAAGCATGTTAGGAAAAGAGTTAGCTCATGAAATCTTTACCCTAGAACAGACATAGTGGTTTTCCACCACACCTCAGCTCAGAATAGGACTCTATTTTTGTGCTTAGAAATCAAGCTTCCTCAAGTAAACTTGGGGCAGAGACCACATCTTGTTCTATTTGTAATCCTTACAGCACCAAGCACACATATGGAACACATAATTGGGACTAACTAAAAACTTGTTTAATGAACAATCAGCATAGCACAGTATGTGGTGGCTAAGAGACTTCACAAAGAAAAATAAACACTGGTCTATTTACCCCCCCAAAAAAAATCAAACCAATCTTCTATCACTGAAAGTGCTCTGGAGTCTAATTTGGTTTCTATGTGGGCTGAGGACAAAGTATATAGTAGGTGTCTTCTCCTAAGCCTTTCTCACTCCCATCACATGTCCACTCAATGCCTGCCCTCCAAAAAAGTTAATACAGGAGGGACCAGGCTAAAATGTAATTCAAGCCCAATCACGAAGTAGAAAATAAGAAAAATAAGAAGAGAGGTAACATCTAATGTTAATTACATGCCAGGCATAGTGCTTAACACTTTGTATATATTTCTTCATTAAATCTTCATAATAACCACTGTCCTCACCTTACAGATGAAGACACTGAAGCTTAGAGATGTTAAGTACCTTGTCTACGATCCTACAGATGGTAAGTATCAGGTGAGAATAATGATTCAAATTTAAACTCCAGAAGATAATCACTTAAAAGGCAGCCTTAGGTACAGGAAGTGGGAAGTGCCACCTCTTTGCATTGGTGATGTTAAAGTCATCACTGAGATGGTTAATATATATGAGTCTTGCTTGCCTCCTTACACTGGTGAGAGCACACAGTTAATACCCAGGTTACCCTAGAAAGAATGGAAGAACTTGGGACAGAAGACCTACAGCTAACGTCCTAGCTCCATCAGTTTCTGCCTGTTGTTATGTCAGTACATTCACCTTACCTCTCTGGACCTCAGCTTCTAAATGTGTCAAATGGGAATAATAAGGTATCAAAAGCTGTTAAGAGAGATTTGGTCAAAGTACTTCAAAATCTACAAAGCACTGTGCCAAGAAATGTGTTGATTATTCTCTACCACTGATAAAGCTCTCAGTCAGCAGAACAGAAGGTTCCAAAACATAAAATCCTGGGTCATCACCCCAACCAGCTGCACCTTAGGAATGATTTTTCCAGATAGAAAAATATAACTATTCTCTACAGTTCATGGCTTAGGTACTCTTTACCCAGTGATATAAAGAAATTGAAGGAAGAGATGAGGATGGTCAGAAATGACAGGTGTGATTTGTACTAATGTTGTGAGACAAAAAAGGCTTGGGAATGATTTTGGAAACGTATAATCAAAGCTGCTCCCATTTGTATTCATATAAATGTGCAAGGCCAGAGATGTTAAGGCCCTTTAATAATGATGGAATTTTTTGTTTAAATAACAATAACATTTTATGGCATTTAGGTGCACCCTGCATTGTCCCAAACTGTATTTGAGATAGATACCTTACATTTTTGTAATACTTCATGATTTTCAAAAATTTCATATTAATGATTTCAATTGATGATGACTTTCCAGTGCTATCTTTTTATTGTATATATTTAAGGTAAACAACATAAGGTTTGGATGTACTGCAGTCAATCAAATTTACATATCAATCATCTCACACAGACACCCTTTGTGTGTGTGTGTGTGTGTGTGTGTGTGTGGTAAGGGCATGTAAAATCTACTCTCTCCACAAAAATGCCATTATTATACAACGGTATGTTTTACACTCAATCTCTAGACTTACTTACCCTACATACCTGCAAGTTTGTATCCTTTGTCCTAAATCTCCCCATTTCCTGCTCACACCCGAATCCCTGATAAACATTACCCTATTAAGAAGGAAAGCTTACATGGAAAAAGGTAGTAAATTAAATATCTGCAAAACCGTTTGGACAATTTTGCTCTTTTCCAATAGTTAATATTTCTTAATTCCTTGTTCTTTAGTTTTCCATCTCTAAATAGGGTAAAATAGCTCTAAATAGGGTAAAATAGCTCCCTGAAATTTTTCTGTTTCTAGTAAAATAATGTACGTAAGGTGCTTTGGTAAATTCTAAAGAACCATTACTATTGTTTATCGTCCATCAACGCTACAAAGTGAGAGCATTTTTCTTAGTCACTCCAACCCACAGCAATTACAAATCAAAGACACAAGCCAAGGTAAGCCAAGAAAAGTCCTCCCCCCATTTGTCTAGGAAGTAGTCACATGTAAGGAAAGTCTACACAACATGCAGAGAGAGGGAGTTGCATTAACTAGGAACCCCAGAGGGTCTGCCCAGCTGCGTGGACTTGCAAACCTGGCACCAAACAAATAGACTCCTAAAATCACAGGAGGCATCAAGAGTGCTCACCCAGCCATCTGACATACTCACAGCATCTGGGCACAAGAAAACTGTCTTCCCCAAGTCCCTCTTCCCTGCCCCCCATCTTCCCCAGTCACACATGCAAACAATCTGGACAGTCCATAAGGTAGAGGATAATTTTAGGGAGTTCCCCAGGGCTTGGCTGGATGCTTTCCAATCATTTCTTTCTGGCCTGTGAAATCAGATGCACTATTTCTTTATACATGAGAAAAAATGAAATCAGTTTCTATTTGCAGAGTAAGATGGAAAAAAATGAAGTTGCACATAGCTATGTCACAGATTCTTAGAAAGGAACTCCCTAAGCTGGAGGACAGGAAGGAGGCACAACAGAAACTCCCTTTCTAAAGGAAAGGAAGTTCTATTTGTTAACCTCTGAGAACTATCCTATGAGACTGGCCTCAGGTACACAAAGCACGTTTTAAGGTTTGGAGCAAAGTTGGTAAATAAAATCAGTGAGGTTTCTTGAGTCACTTTACTGGTCATGGTGTGGTTTAATCATCATGGCCATTTGAGGCACAAATCACTGTGTGTCCGTCTTTCTGTCTGCATGTGGCTCTGTGTGTGACTGACCTCTCTATACCACCCCACTTTCTCCTAACAGATAAACAACTTTTTAACGCATATAAAATGTCGTTAAAATGAACATTAAAAGTAAGCTCATTGGGGGAAAAAAAATGGCTTGGTGGGTGTTCTGTTCTCCTGCTGCTGTAAGGACATACCAGAGACTGGGTGATTTATAAGGAAAGAGGTTTAATTGGCTCACAGTTCCGAGGGCTAGAGAGGCCTCAGGAAGCTTACAATCACGGTGGAAGGGGAAGTAAACAAGTCCTTCTTCACATGGCAGCAACAAGAAGAATGAGCGGGGGTCGGGGTGTAGGGTTGGGGAGTCCCTTATAAAACTATCAGATATCGTGAGAACTCACTCACTATCATGAGAACAGCATGGAGGTAACTGCCCCCATGATTCAATTACCTCCCACTGGGTCCCTCCCACGACACGTGGGAATCATGGGAACTACAATTCAAGATGAGACTTAGGTGGGGACACAGCAAAATCATATCAGTGGGGGATTCGATTTCACAAAAGATCGACCTGTAGCCTGTGGGAATCACTGATTCAAGTACAGAATAGTAAAGAAGGAAGTTGACAGGATTATATGGACCCATTTTATGTACACAAATATGATTACAAAGGAAGTCACCTTATCACTTACACCCAAATATTGCTAGCCACATAAACCCACTCCCACCCTAAGAATATCAAATGTTCTTCCAAGGATCCTTCCTCCCTCTGGTGTCAGGAGGTGTCCTTTGAGGAAATTATGCCATGTAAGCACCTGAACCAATCCAGGCAGCCACTGGACCAGGCTGGCTCCAGGTGGCCTGTGCACCCCTACTACCCCTGCAGCAAACTCCCCATGACCGCTCTGCCCAGGCCACCAGTGCTCCCCTTGCATTGAAAAAGCTCTTTCCTCTGATTCTGCTCTCTGAAAGGGCACTGTAGCAGGGTGGCTTGGATCATGATATGTTAAGCTATTTTTCCTGGCACAGGGCACTTGGCTCAGGGGACAGAGGGAAAGAGGAGGGAGTTCAAACACCAGCCACTATCTGTTTCTGCAATCTATAATCCCAGATCCTCAGACTCTCTTTCTGGGTCTAGCCCAGCAGCCGTTCCTTGCAATTGGTCTTCTGTCACGGATATCTCTCCTCCCCTATGTTGATAGAATTTCATTCTTAAACCTAGTTGAAGTTGAGTTCTCAGAAAGTACCTTAATCTCTATGTATCTGTCTGGCTACAAATAGATTCCAGAGGTTGTCACACAATGGACATAGCCAAATCTTAGCTCTGACATGGCAAGGGGGGCCTCCATTATAAATGCATTATATACCCCTGGGAAATTTTTTTAATACCATCTGAGAACATTGCCTCTGTTACTTCTACTTACTGACCCTTGAGATAGTTCTCATTTACCAGAGAGGGACTGCCTGGAGAATGTCGAGTGTGTTATTATTCCTTCTAGGGATCAGTAGTCATATATAAAAGGGTAACTGGAAATATTTTGAACTCTTAGAAAAAGGTTTTAACATGGTTCTAATAACAAAGTTGGCATTAAACATAGAACAAAGAATGAAATGGAATTTCTGGCCCAACAATCCATCAGATTTTTTTTTTAATGCTCACTATTCCTTTTCTCTATACTCTGTAAGCCCTCTCTTCCCCCTGGCTACAATACAATTATGCTAATTGCAAGTAAACAGCACAATTTAGATAATTGTTAAGAATTTTAAAAATTAAAACCATGGGATGCTGAAGGACTAGTTTAGTAGACAAATTATTATTGCTGTTATGAATAACTATGTCACAGACACTGAACTAAGTGCATTACATACACTACCTTACCACCTTATAAGGTAGGATCTATTAAAACATCAACTTTACAGAGAGGAAATTAAATCCCAGACACGTCTATGCCTAACCCAGGTTCACAAACGCTAAGTATGAGGACTTGCAGAGAAAAAGTAAGAGATATATGAATCTGTCACATGCCTGAGTGGTTACAGCCATTGTGGGGACCTACATATAAAAGGAGAATGAAACACTCAAGCAGTCACTCTTCCCCATCTGTCTATGAGCTTGAGGCTGGGCTAATCTTACCCTACTTTGTATCCTCCACAGCACTCCCCCAAGGCAGGATGCACTGTGTAAGGTAAAATATACTGGACATGGTGAGAAACTAAAAATAAATCAAGGACTTTCTCTAGAAGAATTAGACTCTGCCCAAGGCAAAATGTAAACTCCAATGACCATTAGGAACCCATTCAAGCCTGCAGCCTTCCTCTGAGGTCTCAATCATGATCAGATTAATTCCCACCATATCCCTTCACAATCATATTCTAAACAGAATAACATAATTCTGGGAAAGAAATCTCCACAAAATAAAACCATAGGATCTTAAGGCTGCCTGAAATTCAGGCTGTCACCAAAGTTCCTAAGCACTCCAAGACTCCTTTCAAAGAAATATTAGAGTCCTATTTGGTGATCTAAGCATTGGATTCATAAACCTTGAGCTCTAGTTGAAGATTCTGACTGCTTCATCTTTCCTTTTCTACCTTTCAAATAGAAGCATTTCTATTCTTCACCATTTATACCACCCCTAACCGTGCATTCCCCAGCAGGCTCCTGCATGCCCAGGATGCCAAGTATACACCTTATCTTTCTGCTCTCATCATTACAGTATCAGTAACGACAATTCACATTTGTATAATGCGTGAAATTTTATAAAGGACTTTCACATTTATTACCACACTAGAGCCTCACATCATTTCTGTGAATGAAGCAAATCGAATATTGATACTTTCATTTTCGAGCTATGAAAATTGACACTAGAGAGATAAGGAGATTTCCTCCAACAGCTTACAACCAGTGAGGAGATGGTCTAGACTCAGAATCCAGGTCTTAGGACTCCCTATGCAGGTTCTTTGCAATTGGTAACACTGTCACTCTTTAGTTTTCTGCCCTTTGTGCCTCCCTGTAGGTACACTCACTTGACTTCCAGTCAAGTTCAAATAATCTCCATGAAAGTAAATTCCCATATTTCCAGGCACCCAACAGGGCTTCCAGAGAAGTACGGCATCATTACTTTCCCACTGGAAATATAATAAGGAAACCCACTGGGTAAGTGTTCTTTGGAGTAAATTACTTTTGGAGCAATCTAACCTGACTTCCAGCCAGAATGCTCCACCAACGGCATGGAAAATAAAGTCTGATTAATAAAATCTTGACTTATGGCATGGATTTGCTTCACTTGACCTATATTGAGGATACATGTTTGCAACACAATTGAAAAATAAAAAATATCCTGTATTTAATTATATTGCAATCTATGGTTGAATTTCATTTAAGTGGCATTCATAATTGGCACATTTTTCAAGTACTGCTTCTGCCACAGTTGTATATAAAAGTATATTATCATCATTTGCACAACTGCTGCCTAAGTTAGCATTAACACACATCCCATAGATCAGAGATGGGATCACTAAAGGACAGTGGCTGTCACATTTTCATGAAATATAATTAAATATATCCAAAAATAAACTGGTTCCCAGATTCTGCTAAAGCAGCACATGGAATGTTTTCAAAATTAATAAGCATTCATTTAGCACCTACGTTTTGCTCAGCAGTGCAGAACATTCAGAAAAGTATAAGGTATGTTCTAAGATAGTCAAAGAAGAGGGATAACTCAGAGTTTGGGGTCAAGGGGAAATTTTATAATAATTATTATTATACATATTATTTGTCCATTACCATATTCCAGACACTACGCTAAGTATTTTATTTGAACTACCTTATTTAATTATTATGACAACCCAGTGAAGTAGCTATTATTATTATTATTGTACAGAAAGCAAAACTGAGGCACCAAGAAGTAACTTACTTTATTAAGGCCACATAGCTAAGAAGTGGAGGAGCCAGGATTGGAAGCCAAGTATGTGTTCCTCAGCCTGCGTGTTCTGAGCTTCTTTGCTATATTGGGGAATGCTTCATGGAGGGCTGGCTCTTTGATATGGCCCTAGAGATTAGGTAGGGTTCAGTTAGGAAGAGCGGAAAGAATGGACATAGGTCATTGTTAGAGGATTGACAAATAGCATAAACAAAGGCAAGAATTTGTTTTTCAACATGTGAGGATCCTTGAAGAAAATCAATGGCAAGGAATAAAGTTGGCTAGGTAGGGTGAGACATTTACTAGAACACATTAGAAATAATCTAGGCAGAATTTAGGGACTTGACCCTTTGGAAATAGAAAGTCATGTAGACTCTTGTATAGGAAAGTGATAATTGAAAAGGCATTGTGGTATAGCAGCAGTTTATTCAGGAAGAGTGGAGAGAAGTGAGACTTGAGGAAAGAAAAACAATTAGTCGCTTATTGTGAAATCCTCTCTGGGCCCTACTGCTCCTAGGTCATAGCAGACATTTGATAAATGTTTGTCAGATCAGTGCATGAAGAGTGATATGGATAAAAAGAAAGGTATAAATCCAAGAAAGAATCTGCAGGAGTCACTGACTGATTGTCCATAGAGGAAAAGGAAGAAAAAGCAAAGATGCACCAAAGTGCTACTCAAGGTGAAAAGAAAATGGGCACTTTTGGCCAACAATGGAGTTAGAAAGGAGAAGTGGGCTTCAGGTGGATGCCAGGAGGAAAATATGGCTCCCATTTTGGTTTGAAAATGTAGGGGCTTGAAAGGATCATAGGATACTCTTAATGTATTATAGACATTTGGAGAACGAAGCCTAGACTACATTTAAGAATCTCTAAGGGTAGAAAGCACAGCTCCTACTCGTCACAAATTCAGATAAATAAAAGTTGCCACTTTATTTATGGGCTACCTCAATAGGCAACTCTAGGTAGGTAGAACTTTCCTAATGTAAATGTCACTACTAGTCCTGCTGTATTTTATCAAAGACGTGCAAAGTAAAGAAATTCATAATATACAAGAACACCATTATAAACTGAAAAGAACTAAGCAAAGGGAAATACATCAAAGAATTAAACTCCTATCCCTGCTCCCTATGACATGCTGCCAGCACTGGCCCTTTGACAGATTTGAAACACCAGCCTTTCCTTATCAAAATACGAAAAGAAAAAAAAATCATATAACAGTTTCTCAGCAAGAAACCATTAGACAGATGTAATCATAATGGGACCAAATATTCTTATAAATGAAATGCAAGCATTTAGGACCACATGTGGCGTTTAAAAGCAGCTAACACAAAAGGTAAGTAGAGTCGCCCCTGAATATACACTGGCTCAGACATGGTAGAGCAATCCAATTGGCCCTCAAACAAACTGAATTGTGAATTTACAAGACAAACCCACTATCCATTAGCTTAAAATTCAAATGACCCTCACAGAAAGCCCAGCTGTGGCAATAGGAGCTATTATTCTCAAAGTAAACTTCTCTCTTATGATCACCCACCAGCATCCAATCAGAGAAGCTACAGTCATACTTGTCCAAGTTATTTGCTTTCAAAACAGCCTGATCACATGGTTCATCTTCTAGATGCTTGAAGCCCATCGGAATAACCAAGTGGATGAGAGTGTATAAGATTCACGTAAACAGACAAAGGAGCTCAGCTATTCAACTGTAATGGGCAAAATTAAGGTCTTTAACAGGCAAATTAGAAAGAAAAATACTGCTTGAAAATATAACCATTTTAAGGAGAGAAGGGATGGAGTTAACTGAAATATAAAAATGGCAAGATTTATAAAACGTAGCCCTGGAAATCAATCCAACCAGTGGAGCACGTTTGTCATTAGTGGGTGCTAAGAGAGAAATCATTGAAATTCAGGCACAATGTTTAAATAAAAAACTATGCAATAAAATATGTTTGGGTAATATGCCAAATCTTTTACCCAAATGCCTCCTAATTTAGAGGCAGGATATTTATCAAATGTTGTTTGGCAAGTTAGTAGTTTGAAACTCTGAATACATTTTCTCCCCCAAAAAATAATGTTATTACATGGTAACTGGTTTCCCAAGATAGACCACAAGAATCTCCCAAAGTATAGTGTAATAATGTATAAATATGATACTGAGATAATGGGGTAATACAAACTGTTTTGTAAAAACAGAATCTTATTATCCTATATAGCAGTGCTTTTCAAATTGTGGGTCGTAACCCATGAAATCAATTTAGTGGGTCTTTACCAGTTTATTTTTTAATAGAATGAAAAGGAAAGAATAAAACTGCAAAGATCAGAGGATATCCCATGTCATAAGGAAAAGTATTATTCTGAAAACTTAATTTCACTGTTATAGGTGTAAATAGGTGCAATCCAGGATTGCAATGTAAAATATATTTCTTACCACGAGTCACAGTCAAAACAGTTTGAATGTCTCTTAACAAGGCTTCCATAGGGTGCCTAGCACCAAGACAGTATTTAAGATTTGTTGAATAAATGAATGCCTGAATGAATTGGTGACCACATTAAGCATGAATACATAGAATGCTAGTTATACACTTCTCAGTCACAGCCCTGACACTGCAATAGGAAGCTTGCTCACTCCCGCATTTCCATACCAGTGAGGCAGTGGGGACAGACAGTTGACCCAGCTGCAACTCCCTATTGGTGGCTCTCTTGGCTTAGGGACAAGATCTTGGGTAGAGTAGCAGCTATAGAGAAGGATGGGAACAAGGATTACACAGGTAAGTGGGATTGGACTCTAGGAGCAGGGTTCTGGAGGAAAGAGGGAGAAGGTAAGACGAGGTCACCAGATTTAGCAAATAAAAATACAAGGTACCCAGTTAAATCTGGATTTCAGATAAACAATAAATAATGTAAAGGCAAAGAAAATCATGAATGTTGAGGGTTAGAAAAATCAATGTGATCCATCAGACATTTATTTGATGCAAAACTGTGTTCAAAATACATGCCAAGTACTAGAGAATTAAGAAATACATGGTTCCTGACACTGAAGAGGACATAGACACATGCAACAGTCTCAAAAATTAACATGTATTGACCACTATTCTAAGTGGTTTACAGGCATTAACTCGTTTAACACTCACCACCCTGAATTAAGCACTACTGTTATCCCTATTGAAGACATAACTGGAGCATAGAGAAGTTCAAAGAGGAAGTTGTCCAAGGTCTCAGAAAAAACACACACACACATAATATTCAGTGGGCCTCTGGTAGAGCCTGGATATTGTTCAAGATGGGTGGATCTGGAAGTGAGATTTGAGCTGAACCTCGAAGGAAGATACAACTTCAATAGGTGACTATTAGAGGAAGAATATTCTGGGCAGAGGAACAGCTTGGAGGTAAGAGAACATAATCAAGAAATGGGAGTAAAGTTGCTGGAATATTAGAAATATAGTAGTAGGAAGGAAAGATTAGGCAAGTTAACCAGGCAGTGACCATACTGTGGAGGAAGTTTGCCCTGTTGAATCTGCATATATGGTGAACCACTAATGGAACTGGGGTAAATAGCTGGTGTGGTGGTGCACGCCTGTAGTCCCAGCTACTCTAAAGACTGAGGCTTGAGGAACCCTCGAGTCCAGGGGATTGAGTCCAGCCTGAACAACATAGCTGGATCCCATCTCTAAAACATAAATAAATAAAACTAAAAAAAACTGGGTTTTTTAGAGGCAGGGTCTCACTATATCACCAGGCTGAAGTGCAGTGCAGTTCAGTGACACTATCATAGCTCACTGCAACCTTGGGAACTCCTGGGCTCAAGCAATCTTCCTGCCTGGGTCTCCCGAGTAGCTAGGACTACAGGCACATGCCACTACGCATTTTTTTTTTTTTTTTTTTTTTTGTAGAGACAAGGTCTCACTATGTTGCCCAGGCTGGCCTCAAACTTCTGGCCTCAAGCGCTCTTCCTGCCTTGTCCTCCCAAAATACTAGAATTGCAGGCATGAGCCACCATGCCAGACTTAAAAAAAATTTTTTTAAGTATTTGTGGGAAGTAAATGGACACCATGTTGAGTTCAGCTTTTAGAAAGATGATTTTGGTAATAGTACAAAAGATAGAGGGGATGAGATGAAAAATCAGAGGCTACAAAACTAGGTAAGTCAATACAGATGGCTGGCAAAGCACTGTGGCACCAGAATCCAGGATTTACCTTACAATTCAGACACTTAGTAGGTGAGTGACCTTGGACAATTCATGTAATCACTCTGAGCCTTGGCTTCTTCATTTCCAAAGCAGGGATGACAATACCGCTTACCTCATAGCATTATTGGGGTGATAAAACAAGCTGATACACAGAAATGCTCAATAAGTAGAAGCTATCTGTAAATGGTCATGGCAATTGCACTTGAATCTGCTCAGGCTTGGGTAATTAATTTCTTTATAGCAGTGTGAAAACTGACTAATACACATCCCAATGGTAACATAGTGAGGGCAGTGAGAGAATGGGGGATTATCTTTCCTTCTTCCAAAAAGAATATATCTAAGAACGAAGCTAAAAAACAAAAGGTAGAAAAAAACGTGAAACAAAAAGCAAAACAAAACAAACTCCAGAATACCAAGTAACTATATGGAGAAGGTAAGTGAACTTTGAGATAAAACAGACTTGTGTTTGCATCCTCTCTCTAGCATACATTACTAGAATGATCTTAAGCAAACTACTTAAGCTCTCTAAACCCTAATCTTCTCATCTGTAACACATGGTTGTTAACACCTATATCATAAGACTATGTGAAGGATAGCTGCGATCATGTATAGTATGACTTCAGAACAATGCCTGGCCCAGAGTAGGCAATAACTGATAATTATTATGTATTGTCACAGTTAGGCAGCGGTACAAGTGGAGATAGAAAACCAGGCGAAAACACATACAGTATACATGAGGTTTGTCAATTCTGGAGACCACATCCATGAATGGTGGCATAGAATTGAACATCCCTTTTCTACGTGTTCAGCCCAATGAATTTGTCTTCTTCAAGGTGTACCACCAGGTAAGATGATGAAGAATGACAGGGATTTAAAAATGCAGATTTGTGGATTGGGGGAAGAGAGGCACAAAAGATGAAAAAGCAACAGCCTCTGACTATATTATTTTCCCACCACTTCTTGTCCCGGAACTCAAACCCCATCACTGACTGCCATGCCAAAAGCTACTAAGGCACCATGAAAAGAAAGACTGGGGCTGGAGGTGGGGGGCAGGTTCATAATATTTAAGAGCTCCATGAGGGAGGAGTGGCTGCTAGGGCCAGCCATGTATCCATCCATTCAAGCACGCAGGGAACTGCCAGGTCTGAAACCACCTGCCTGCATGCTTCTGTCCTATGTTTCTAGACATCAGAATACACAGCAAGCCCATTCTTTCTCTAGGTGCTCTGCCTTGGTGTGGCACAATCATTATTCCAAATATCCAGCCCACTGCTCAGGACACTGCCATGGCCCTGGGGTAAACTTAAGATCCTTTGCTTTTTTCTAGAAATTTAATTGTTCTCAACAACTTGGTGTGCAAACTTAAATACTTTACTAAGAAGAAACAAGGCAAGAGGGTAACAAAATGATCATTAAGACACTTTGTGTTTTCCAGTGTACACACTCTGTCCCTAGCCTATGAAAATGGTGCAGCAGGGCACACACTGGAGCTGTTTTTCAACAACAGTGACTTTTTTGGCCCTGTTTTCTCTATAACCTGTCACTCACTCCCTCTTGTCAGACAACTGCAAACACACAAGAGGTCCCAGATTCAGTTCTCAGGGAGAATATCCTCTGTGTAAACCAAAGTGGCCAGAGTGGGAAGAAACTACTTTATTGTCCACATTCTAACCAAAATGAAACAAAAGGCCATTCATTAGAAAAACATCCATCTCTTCTCCTGATCTCTCTGAAATTAAAGGTAACCAAAGTTAGAATTGGAGCATTTGGTGAAAATAAAAAGCTGCCTAAATTTTTCTCAAGTGTCCTAGCACTTTCACTTTTGGAAATGAATATTTAGAAAGGTTTAAGAATATCTTTCTTACACATTTCTCCTTCCCTCCTTCCCAAACGACTGCCTCTTCATTTTTGAGCAAGAGTGTGTTGAAGGGGCTACTGCCTGAGAAGCAAGCATCCTCAAAGCACATTCCTAATTCAGTTCATCTTTGGGCACTGCTTTTCCCCAAAGGTAGGAAAGGGAAGATTACTCAGTTTGTCCAGGAACACCGATTAAGAATGATACATAGGTGGGACGTGTTAGGTCGAGTCAGCCAACACTGAATCAATCCTTTGTAGAAAGACAGAGTGGGCAGATGCTACAAGCAGCTCCTACCTCTAGATGGGTGGAAAATAACACAGAGCAAGACATGAGGCATGACCAAGGACTGAGGGAATTCCCCTTCCTGAGAACTCTTCAAACACAAAACAGCCACTAATTTTTTGTAATTGCCTAAATATGTCTATGGCTAGTTTTTATAGGCTGCCTCCTCTCTGGAATGACTAGGAGCCAATCATTCTGAAAAATCAAGATGGGGCATCTATTGGCTGGAGGATAAAAGAGGTAGTATACACAACCAAAATCGCTTGGCACATTTGGTGATTTAAGAACAAAAATCCAAACACAAGTGAAGAGAAAGCCAAAGAGAAAAGCAACTTAAGGGAGCATCTCAGGTCTCCAGAGTGACCCCCAAATGCTACATAACACTTCACAGAGCAGCAAATGGGCAGTGATGTTGCATGCCAAAGGTGACAGCTAATTTTCACTGCAGGTCTGGAAAACTTAACTTTTCCAGGCTCTTCATTATTTTGTAGGTTTCAGGCTACCAACTGCCCAGGCCTTTCAGCCTGGCTTCTCCCACCCCACTCTTGTTTCCCCAGCTCCTCCTTATCACCTACTATTGGGATCTCCCTGCTTAAAGGCCATTTTGTCACACAGCAGAGGTTATGGGTTGGGTAATTTGAGCTTCAAAATCTAAGGTATGTGACCATAAAATCTCAGAAGGTAAGAACGGCTACAGGTGCCAAAGGTGAGAACAGCCAGAGAACATATTAAGATTCTGGAACCAGAAGAGGTGCCTTGCTGAAGGACAAACTCCTGCGTTCACCAGAGAAGAGACCAAGTTGTGTTTCTCTGGCCAGTCAAGAAACTGCAGACAGGGAAGCCTGGGGCAGCTCCTGGAGTGGCTGGCCGGGAGAGTCATCAGGCTACAGTGACCATGACTGATAGTGGAGAGCAGTGCAACGCAGACTGCAGCACTGGTTAACCTGGCCAATGCCTCAGCACTCTAGGTCAGGACGGTGTGTTAGGCAATCTCTTGAGGGAGGGCGGGGTAGAAAGACAAAGGACACTCTCTGCTCTTACTGTAGAGATAAGGAGGGCGGGGAAGGGTTGTACAGTATGAAACTCTCCCGACTGAGTGGTCAATATAGGAAAGCCAGCCAGCCAGCCAGCCGTCTCCTAAATGACTCCCGTGCGGAGATACCTCACAGCAGCAGCATTGCCACCGCAGGCAGCTGTGAGCAATTAGATGAACTTGCCTTAGGAGTTGCTATTTGTTCACCTGATTTGGCAAATCCCTTCTTAACCCTCCTCATCCCCAGTGTATCTCATTCACAGAAGACACAAGTTAACTTTAATGGAGTTTGCCCTGTGCTGGAGATTGGGGGAGGGGAGCAGTTGGAGGAGGTAAGAAGGTGGAAACCTTTTGACCGGAAGATTTTTCTGTTGTTTTCAGACTAAAAGAAAAAAATAAAGTAGGCAGCAAAGAGGACTGCAGGATACTGCTCATTTTTAGACATCTCTGGCATTTTAGGTAAAGAGCAACTGGCAGAACTCAGCCAGATTGACAGAAAACGTGTTCACCTGTCAACTGGGAAGGGGAAAAAACCCCAAAAAAGATTCACTGAGGTCCAGGAGTGAGAAACCCGTCTCCAGAGGTCCAGGTCTCCGCCTAGCCCTCCTCCCCTGCCCCGTCCCGCCCGATGGCCAGGTGGAAACCAGGCAGGTGAGCCAGCACACGTGTCAACTAGCGGAAGACCCCCAGGCCCGCCAGGGGTCCCTGAGGGGACACACCCTCCACCTACCTCAAACATGGGAGAGGCGCCCTTGCTCGGCAACGTGCAGCCCAGGAGCTCGGCGAGAAACTTTGCCATATACAAGCGGTGAGGCAGGGTCCCTCCCGATGCGCCGTTTCTGTCCTTTCCCCTTGCCAGAGCCCGAGCGCCAGGATCCTGCCCGCAGCCCGCCCGCCAGCCGGGGCCGTGGCTCGGGGCTGCCCCGCGGCTGCGGCGGAGGGGCTGGGCCGGGCGGGGAGAGCTCGGCGGCCGCCCGCCCCGCGGCGTCCAGCGGTGCGAGTGCGCGCAGCCCCGTCCGCAGCCCGAGCCTCCGCTCTGCGGGAGCCGGGGCGCCGTCGCCGCGCTAGCCTTTTCCTCTGAATGTCACTATTACCATAGTAAAGGGAAGGGCCCCGCCGAGGGGGTGGCGGGAGGGCCAACGGCGCCTCAGGATGGGCGCCAAGCGTGAGCAAGGGCAGCCGGCGGGCGCAGCGCCTTGGCGCAGACACCGGCCCGACCCACGCCTGGGCAGGGCCACTCTTGCAACACTGCCGGGCGGGAGCAGACGCCTTAAGCTCCGAGGGAGAGCGGGCGGCCGGGGCGGGGGAGGGTCTGTGGATGGAAGCCGCCGGGCTGACCCACTTCCCCAGTTTTCCCCTCGGCAGCACTCACGGAGGTGGAAAGGCGGGCGCCTCGCTCTGCTGACTGACCCGGGAGAGTCGCTGCTGCCAGATGCCAGTGGCCCGCAGGAGCTCCTGCACTGGCCGGCGCCGCCCCACCCTTCCTTTGGGAAAGGGAGAAAGCTCCCTAAGCCTCGGAGGAGGAACTCCCCCTCCTGTTCTCACATTATCCCAAACCAGTGAAAGGGGCAGACCCAGGTAAGCCCCAAAAGAGGAAAGGTGACTGTAGGCACTAGGGCCTGGGCAGGATACGCTCCATGATCACAGCTCCCTCCCTGTCCTTGGCTCCGGCCGGAGAGCCAAGGACCGGCATGGAGACTGAAACAGGTATGGCCCTGATGGCCCTGTTTTTTCTTCTTCTTCTTCCTTTTTTTTTTTTTTTTTTTTTTTTTGAGACGGAGTCTCTTACTGTTGCCCGGGCTGGAGTGCAGTGGTGCAATCTCGGCTCACTGCAATCTCCGCCTCCCGGGTTCAAGCGATTCTCCTGCCTCAGCCTCCCGAGAAGGTGGGATTACAGGCACCCGCCACCACACCCAGCTAATGTCTTTTCATTAAAAAAGACTTTTAGGACCAGGCCTATATTGTATATTTATTCTGCACCCCCATAGTTGTACATCTCAAGCTTTAACGTGCATAAGAATGACCTGACCTATAGAGCTTGTTTAAAATGAGGGGTCCTGGGCCCCCAACCCATGTTTCTGAATCAGTGATTCTGATTCTGATCCTGGACCATCTCAGGAGATTCCGATGTAGATGGTATCCAGGCTCTACTTTGGGAAACATGGCCCTACTATGTAAAAAAAATGCTGACATAAACTTTCAAGGACTGGGAAAACACTAGATTGGTGACAGACACGACCCTAGAGAAAGTTGTGTCAAATCACCTGATTTGATATGCAAGGAAACAGAACTGGAAAAGTTTTCATTACTTCAAGTCATACTGTATCAGTGACACCCAGGACATGGAGTAGACACCCTATAAATACTCGTTGGACGGGATGAATAGAAGATAGATGGTGATGAATAGCTGGGTCCCAATTTCCTTAATTGCCATTCCAGAGTTCTAGCTGGTGCAACTAATTCACTGTGAATTTAAGGGATAAAAGAGGAAGGAAAGATGTTAAACTAAATTCATTTGAATACATCATCTCAGTGCTTCTCAAACTTTTTCTATCTGGTTTTAACTTCTGCATTCTAACCTACAAAATATTCAGGTTCGTTATAAAACAAAAAGACCTACCCCCATGACTAAAACTAATGCTCCAAGTATGTTATTTTTATTCTGTGTTTTCCAGAACCCTGCCACACCACCAGCTAACCCCCAGCAGTGAAATCAAGAAATGTGGCAGCAAGGTACCCCCGGGCTATACTAAAAAGGAAAGAGAACTAATATGTAACGAGTACCTATGAATGTCTCAGTCACCATGTCACTAGGGTGAACATGGGCTCTGGGGGCAGACTACCTCCATTTAAATCCCGTTTCTGATACTGCTATGAATTGAACATTTTCATCCCCTCCAAATTTCATGTTGAAATGTAATCCCCAATGCAACAGTATTGGAGGTGTGGCCTTTGGGAAGTGATTGATTTATGGGGGCTCCACCCTCATGAATGAGATTGGTGTCCTTATAAAATGGCTTGATGAAGGGAGTTCTCCCCTCTTGTCCTGTCTTCTGCCATGTAAGGATGCAGCAGCATTTTTCCCCTCCAGAGGATATAGCATTCAAGGTACCAGCTTGGAAGCAGACAGCAGTCTTCATTAGATGCCAGCCTTGATCTTGTACTTCCCAGCCTCTAGAAATGTAAGAAATAAATGTCTGTTTTTATAAATTACTCAATCTGTGGTATTCTGTTATAGCAGCACAAAATTGCCTAAGACATAATGTGAAAGAAAAGTGACTTTGCTTCTCTGTACTTCAGTTTTCTCATCTGCAAAATGGGTTTAATAATAAAGGTACCTACCACATATGGTATATATTAGTTTTGTATTGCTATCATAACAAATTACCACAATTTAGCAGCTTAGAACAATGCCCATTTATTGTCTCATAGTTCTGTAGATTAGAAGTCTGGTGGGTTCATGTGGGTTCTGTGCCTGGAGTCTCACAAGGCTAAAACCAACCAGGCTGGCCTCTTACCTAGAGTTTCTGGGAAGAAGCCACTTCCAAACTCTTTCAGGTTGTTGGGAGAATCTAGCTCCTTGAAGCTGTAAGTCTGAGGTCCTTGTTTTCTTGCTGACTGTCAGCCAGAAGCCACTCTCTGCTTCTAGAGGCTTCCTGGACTCCTTATGCGGCCTCCTTCATCTTCAAGGAGAAACTGCATTGAATCCTTCTCATGCTTCAAATCTGACTTCCTCTTTTGCCAACAGCCAGAGAAAATGTTTACCACTTAAAGGTCTCATATGATTACATTGGGCCCACTTGGATAATCTTTCTATTCTAAGGTCAGCTCATTAGTCACCTTAGTTACATCTTCAAAGTTGCTTTTGCCATGTACTATAATCACAGAAGTAATTCCAGGGTGAAGATCATAAGAGCTACGTAGACTCCTGCTTACCGCATGATTATTTTGAGGAATAAGTAAAGGTGTGTATTTAAAACATTTAGAACGGTATTTTATTTTGTGGTACCAATAATAAGAACTCAATAAAGATTAGCTATTTTGTCTACACATGGCATTTCATTTGATTGACACTACAACTCTATTATTTTAAAGGGGAGAAACTGAGAATCCAAGACCACACAGAGGGTTAATGGCAGAGCCAGGAATCAAACCTAGAACAGCCATCAATCAAGTCTGTGCTGAGCACTAGGAGATAGGGCAAAGGACGGATAATGTTCATTTGAGAAAGAGGGACTTGAGAAGGGGTGTGCAATAATGAGGAGCATGGGGAATATTTACAGGTAGTCACTTGCCGTATATGAATAATCTATGGTTTAGGCACAAGGGAAACTGTACTAAATACTAATTGAATTTTTTTAAGTCTTTAGGCTGACTCTGGGCACGCTGCCTAGGAGTTAGCCCTGCTCTGCAAGGAGCAGCTATTAAATATGTATGTATGAAATATATATATTTAACTGAACCTGGTGATTTTTACTGAGCAGATGCATTTTCTTGTGGTGACAGTCATCTTAAGAGGCTATACATTACTTGCAATCTAGACTCATTCCTTTGATGGTTTCTTTCTCCCCATGCCCTCTCCTCTGTGATGTCTTGCATCTTGTAGAGGAAATAAACATGTCTGAAAGCAGCAACCCACTGAACAGCAAGAGCATTGCCCAGACTTTCTCCAGGGCATGCCCAGGCCTGAATCACTACCATGTCTATTTCTTCCTGTCATTGGTAGAGCAAGGACAGAGACCCAGGACAAAAAAGAAAAGAAAGGAAAGCAAACCAAAAAATAATCTTATCATCTATGGTCTTTCCCCACTTAGGACTGTGACTGCAGTATCATTTACTGGAAGCGTTGTTCATACTTTTTTACCCAGTATTTCCATTTGTAGAATTTATCCTAAGAAAATAATCAGAGAATCGCTCAAACATTTTTGCATTTACAATTGTGTCTTGTCTGTAAGGGCAAGTGAGTGTCTTTTCTACTGACACAGTAACCACCATGGTTCAAAGGCTAGGACTGAACTCAGGCTGCCTGGGCTTGAATTCTGGCTCTGCCAATTGCCAGTTGAGTGATCTTGGGCAAGTCACTTCAATTCTCTAAGCTTCCATTTCCTCATCTGGAAAACAAGGATAATAATACCTCATAAGAACTTAATTAGGTAATATTATTATACTCACTTATTAGAATGATTCATATAATTATTATATGAATACTAATAGAGGACCTGGTCCATACTACATAATAGTAATACGTTAACTCTGACTAGGGTGATGATTAATGATATATCCTCAGCTCATGGCCCAAAGCCTGGCACACAATACTCAATAAAAATTGTTTAAATACATGGACAAACAGATGGACAAACAAATGAACAGGGATACTTGTTACAGCATGATAAAGCTAAAATTTGTAAACCATAAAAACAACAGGAGAGTGGCTTAATATACCATGGTACATATAATCAAAACCTAGTATGTTTTAAAAGAATAATTAATGACCTAGAAAATGCCTGTAGGTAATGTTAGTAGGGGGCAGCATACAGTATATGTAGCATATTCTAAATTTATAAAATACTTACATGGTACGCATACATTAGGACCAAAATGGAAGGAAATACACCAAAAGGCAATAATAGTTCTCTGTAAGTGATGAAATTATGGATTATTTTTATTTTCTTCTTTATATATTCCTTAATTTTCTAGATTCTCTGCAGTAAACGTGAGTGTAATACCAATTTAAATACTTTTTACAATTCCATAATTAAGAACTTAGACTTTTTTTAGTCATCATGTTAATCTTAATTGATTTAAGATCTTATCACTTTAATAAAACATTTAGGATGGACCAATTAACACAACTAAATCTACTGCACTGACACTCTCTTGAAGAAATCTCTGGTGCTTGTGAAAAGGTTCTACAAAACATCATCCAAAATTTGATTTTAAAGACACTCACCATTGCTGCTAAGAGCCAATAGTTATCAACAATAGCCTTAATAACTAGAAATGGGAAAGTCTTAAGAGGCAAGTGAAATCTATGTTTAAAACATACTTATTTTCTCATCTCATTTAGTTTACAAGAGAATGTAGAAGTTGAAGAATCAACCTTTGGAAATTGTCATTTGCCCAGAATGATTAATTCTGGGTAATTTATGCCTGCCAAGTAATAAAGAACACTGCTTTCATTTACCCGGCTTCCTTTGTGGGTCTTAGAGGGAGATCCCATGTTAGTTATTGTAAACTCAGTACTTCAGTATGGTCAGGAAATAGAGCAGTCTGATTAACCAACTATTCTGACTAATTATCATCTCTGCAACATATGAATTACCACTTTCCAAAAAATTAGGCTGTCATAAATTGCAATTAACATTGAAGGTCTACCAAAGGTAGATGATTCAGAAGGCACCTCAGTGTCTCTCAGGGTGTCAGGTTCACCACTATAAAAATCATGTATCCCAGTAGGATGGATGAGGAAAGATGTTGGTTAATAGGAATTTTCAGTTGAGAGAAATGCAAGCAAGCCAGGTTTTACTATGTTTACAAGGTTGAATGAATGTCTGTTGAGCTCTTTAAGCACCTCCTGAGAAAGGCACTCTATTTGTGTGAGATGTTATAATTATTATTCCACAGAAATACAATGGTAACATTCTATTTTACAACAAAGAAAATTAGATTACAAGTTATCCTACAATTCTCCCTCCTCCCAGCTAAGATCACACACCGTATAGAGTTACAATGGTGCCAATTACAACAGCTTTTCATGCATTGTATGTTGCTCTGGTTTTTGATGATCTGAATGGATTTCATACCTAATAGCAGCTACTGACAGCAATCAAAACAATTTGGGGGAAAACAGTTTTGTCTTCTGTGTTCAAGTAATGCTATTGATTTAAATTTAATGTTTGCTTCATTTCTTTCTTGGTACAGTAAGCAAGCATGTGGTGTCTGTCTGGGCCCCCATTCTGCCTAAGAATGTGGGTGGCAAAGCCTATGTATACCAGGCCTTTTCTATCACTAGTTGCTAGAAGCCAATATCCATTAAAAAGAGAGTGTTTTTAAGATCATTTCATCAAATGCCCACTACATACACATTCATTCATTCTCACTCTCTCTCTCTCTCTCTCTGTCTCATATCCCAGTTTACAGTTGAAGAATCAGAGGCACAGAGAAGTTAAGTTTTTTGACCAAGTTTACACAGCTACTATATTGGTCGAGCTGGGGCCAGATTCTAAATCTCCTGATAGATAGCACATGCTCTTTCCATTGAGTCATTGCCCCAGCACCATGCTGGACTGAGACTTTGACTGAAAAATGAACTTTTCTCTGAACAAGGTGAAAAAAAAAGAGAAAAGAAGGAAGGGAAAGACCAATGAAGGAAGGGAAAAGAACTCAGCATCATGGATTCAGGGTACCACTCCCACATCACAGCCAAGCTTACTCCTTTTATATAACAATTTGAGGTCCTGGCACAGTAAGCCACCTAAGTTTCCTTAGTTGAAACACTATAATAGGACTCCCTGGGAGAATCTTTGCAGTATATCTTGAAACTGATGACCAGAGCTTCTTTAATGAGCAAACAGATAGACCTAACCTTTCCACCCCTGCTCTGGCTGTCCTGGATGGGAAGGAGACATTCTCTAATATGGAAAAGATCCAAGATGCAGGTCAGTCTAATCAGCTAATGGTCAGCACCAAAGGAGGTTAGGCTGTTTAAGGAGTTAAGTCATTCAGTGTGATGCCAGTTCCCTCCTAATCCAGCCCTGGAGGAAACTTGTATTATGACTCACAGGAGAGGCACAGCCTGGAGAAAATGAGCCCAAAGAAACTGAAGAACACTGAAAACTTACAATATTACTGATGTGATAATAGACTAAGAGAATAAGGCACCCGTCTCGTCAGTTTGGGACTTGATGTAAGAGTCATTGTGCTGTGGCAAAGGGCCTGGTTCACCACAGTGATGGTGGGAGTGCCTGGGCCAACACTAGTGACAATGAGGAGACTGGTACTATGTGACAACAACAAAACCCACAGTGGCATCAAGGCTATGCCACCCCCTTAGGAACCACAGCTCAAGAGTGGAGAGCCAATGTTCACTTGGGCAGGAAGTAAAGCATCAATCTGGAGCCCTTGGAGCCAAATGCACCAACAGGCAGCAGTGAGTAGGATCATAGCTAGATAGCAGGTAAGGAAGCATCAGAGCCAGGACTCTGCACTTCCAAGTGAGCAATGGTGGCTGCAGAGATCAAAGAGCATAAAGGTCACAGGCAATGGAGCAGAGAGAGGGAGCCAGCTTCTGTAAAGCAGAGCCGCAGCAGGTATAGTGCTGAACAGTGAGCTAGCCTGGGTCCTCTATGGGAAACCTAAAGATCAAAAAAATCACCCAGAAGGGACGTGAGGCAAATACCAATTTTATTTGCATTTCATTGCTTCCACCCCTTCTTGGACTGGCCCACCATCCTAACAGTCCACATGAGAGGAAACTGGGACAAGTAAATGCACAGGCTCTTGGCTCTGGCCAGATCAGATCCACCCCATCCCCTAAACTTTGGCTCAGTCTCAGTTCTCCCTATCTGCAGAGGTCCAGATCTGCTCTGTGTTTGATACTCGGTGAGATTAAAGAATTCTAGACAAGGTCACCCCTTTGTCACCATTGATAGAGGGCTCTATCAGTCTCACAACAAATATAGGTCAGAAATGACTGGAGTCAGACCAAATCTAAACACCTGAGGGTGTTGGGGAGTGAGCAAGGATAATCCTGCACCAGCCTGAAAAGGAGAGACAGTTCCCACCCAACCACATACCTCCAGGAGTTCTATAGCAGCCAGATATTTAAACCAAAGCTTTTTCTTTTATACTATTTCTGTTTTCTCGTTCTTCAGCACCTCTCAATTCTCCATGGGCAGAGGTGTGTTTCAGTCATCTTCCAGAGCCAAACAGAACAAGTCATGATCTGGAATCAACAGGTCCATTTTTCCCCATGCTTCATTTCTGTAGCATTATAATAACAGTAACAATAGCCAGCATGCTACTACGTGGGAGGCACTGTGCTAAGCCCTCTACATATACTATTATGCAATTATTACAATTGATCATGTCATCAACTCCTTTGGGTGATACCTTCATAATCCCTACTTTACAACTGAGGAAAATACAGCATGACATGCTGATTACCTTCCCAGGGTCACAGAGCTAGGAAGACATGGAGCCTGAATAGGCATCCAGGCAGTCCTCCATACCCACATCCTCACCTGGCATCCCATCATCCTTAGACTAGAAGAGCAGCAAGGGATCAGGCTCTCTCAGCCTCACCATAGGGTGAGAGGGAAATATGGAATGAGTTTAAAGAGGAAGCAGTTTTAATTATGCACTGTCTAATGCAAAACCATGCCAATTTTGCTGACAGAATAAAAATAAGCAGACCTGAAGAATTTTGATCCCTATGCCCTTAAGCCTTCACAAGAAAGTATTCCAAGTTTACTTCACTGTTGTCACGCCTGCCCACACCTGCTTGCTGAATAATGCTAGGAGAATAGCAGTGGTATCCCCACCCAACTTTCATGTAAATTAAAGAGTTTTCCAAATTCTGCTACCAAATTTTTCTAACCTAAGTGAGATTTTAAGATAAAAACTCCATTTGACTGACTCAGCTTATATTCCTCTCTTTAAGAGCTCAAGATCCCTCATGTCAATTACCTTTTAAAAAATGAGAAAGGGATTTTAGTTCAAAGACCCAATACCCAAATAACTCTGGTCGTACAATGAGCTACAGCTACTAGAATAGGCCCATCAACAGTCACAACATTTCTCTCGAAGGAGGAAGAAAAGCCAAAGTTTCATCCCTCAGGAAAACAGCACTCAGATTTAGCCTGGGAATAATTTTCAGGTATCCATGGTCTAATCTGCACCCACTGGGAAAAACCTGTCATTTAATTCCAATCATCTCATAGGCTCCATCACAAGATTTTATAGATGTTTATTTAAGGGATACACTCTGTGGGGGCTAGATGGAGATTAGGAAAGGGGAAACCATTAATTTAAATATGCCAGGGGCATCAGAAAACAAAATGAGAGTAAATATAATTGCAGAAAGGCTGACCCTAGTAACCTATTCCAAAAGACAAAGAAAACACAAATGATCTAAATTAAAAGGCTTTGAAAAAAAATGAAAAGAAAGGGAAAAAAATAAGCTCTTTGTGTTTGATTCTGGAAACATACATTATGCTCACACTGTGAGCTGGCGGGCAGATGGTCGAAGCTCATACAAGGAATATTAAATCTATTTGGAACCCTCTTGCCCTCCTGATACAACACTGCAGATGCCTAGAGGGCAAGACAATGAGCACACAAATGCCTACAAATCACTCAGACTCTGTCACTGACTGGGAAATCCTCCCCACATCCCAGAGCACAGGGAGCTTGAGTGGTTTGCCCCATCCCTCACAGCAGATCAAATAGAGGGTCAGAAGGGAAGGCCAAGCCTTACACACACACACACACACACACACACACATACACACAGCATCTCTTTATATTCAGGCTGGTTTCTGCTGTTATAGCAAGATATGAAATGAAATGGCGCAGGAAAAGCACCCAGTGTAGAGCTTGTTTGTGGGGTTCCATGTGTTTTTGCAATCTCTTCAAAGGAATAAAAATAGATAATTAGATTTCAAAGGCCAGGAGAAATAAAGAGTCAACAAACTTTCACCCTGCCCAGTTGCTCTTCACTTTGTATATTTTCCAGTGGGCAACACAGTGAAGTTTGCACACATGGCACTGATTCTGCCTGGTAAGATCAGGGCATGAGACAGAAGACAATTATTCCAAAATAACAGAAAAGACCATCTCACCCTGTCTAACCTGAGCATATAAATGTCAGTGGCTTATAAATATTTGGAAAGCAAGATGCTTTAAAGCCTGACTACTGAAAGTCCAGTTCACAAACCACAAGCTCCCCAGGTGATTTGTCTGCTCATGAAAGCACTGCTCAAGGGCAATAATCTTCAAAGTGTGGTATGTGATCTATTACCATATGGAAAGATATTGTTCAGCTTCTATTTATTTTTATTTATTTTTTATTATTATCTTCAAGAAGAAATTCAGCTTCTCTGCAATTTGACATTTAGCTTGACAGTGGTGCTTGTATAAACGTATAAATAAATATACATATGCTCGAAGTACAAACTCAAATTTTTTTAACTAATGGAATTTTCCATTAAAAATTGGGATGGGCCAGGCATGGTGGCTCAGACCTGTAATCCCAGCACTTTGAGAGGCTGAGGCGGGCAGATCATGAGGTCAGGAGTTTGAGACTGGCCTGGCCAATATGGTGAAATCCCATCTTTACTAAAAATACAAAAAGTTAGCCAGGCGTGGTGGCGCACACCTGCAGTCCCAGCTACTCGGGAGGCTGAGACAAGAGAATTGCTTGAAACTGGGAGACAGAGGTTGCAGTGAGCCAAGATCCATGCCACTGTACTCCAGCCTGGGCAACGGAGTGAGACTCCATCTCACACACACACACACACAAAAATTGGGATGATACATCTCCTGGCTAAGTGCTGATCTAATAAGGCCATCAACTCTCTGTCCAGGAAGCTTCTACTATCACACATTGACTAGATGTCCCTGCCTCTTCTAGTTTCCTTATAAATTTGTACAATGGTACACAGCAAGGTCCCTCTCCTGGAGCACTTCCCACAATATGTCCAGATGTGCCTAGCCCAGCTTGCATCTCAGCTAGTCGGCCAGAGGACAGAGCACAAGAACACATGCACCATGATGACCCTTTTGCCTGTGCTTTTCCAGTAAACCTTACTTTATACTCATGCCATGTGATACTAGTGTGTTCGGGTCCTTTGCAAGACCCACATATAAACAGACAATCATCCTCATAATTGACTCATGTCATTTGGAGCACGTACCATGAAGGAAAGCACAGGAGGATCATGGAAAGTCATTCATAGTCTGGAGGGTGAGAAGAAGAGTCTATGAGGAAGTGACATTCAAGTGGGGACCTAAAGGATGACCATGACAGGAACATTCAGGCAACAAGTGAAAATGCCTATGTTGAGGAAGGAATGGGGAACAGAGGAGCTTCTGAGTCATGGCTGGTGTAGTTGATGCTGGTGAGCAAGAGAAAGGATAGCAGGAGGGAAGCTCAAGGGGAAAACAGGGTTCATATATTTGGGCTTATGTTAAGCATTTTGCACACATTATGTAAGACTCTTGAGGCTAAGGTGGTGTCCTAGTTTGAGTTCATCCAAAAATAGACTATGAGACAAGGACAGAGTGCGAATACTTTACTTGGTAAGTAATCCAGGAAGCATGGTGAGTGTTGAAGAAGTAAGACAAGGAAGGAAGGTGAGCCAATAAGAGGGTCATTGATGAGTGCTGTGGGCAACTGGGTTCAGTCTGGAAGATTACATGAAACATGCCTCAGAATGTTCCCACTGGGAATCAGGGAAGCTGGATACATAGCCACCAACTCTCACTCTTCATTGTTTGAGAAATGTTTCTGCAGTGTTAATTCCCACCACGTATATCTGAAGGGGAGGGGCCTATAGCCAAAGAACATCCTCATCATATGCAGGTAGCCACCCCATGTACAAGTAGGGTGAACAACCCATCTCTGTTTGCCCAGGAATTTCATGATTTTAGTACGGAAAGTGCTGCATCCTGAGAACTCATAAGTCCCAGGCATTGATTCTTCTGGGATGATTGTTCACTCTATTGTAGGAACTAACTACAGGCGACCTCTGATGTAGGTCAAGAGGATATGAATGGGGCATTTTCAGCAACTGCAAAATGGCATCAAAGATTCCACAATTATACCCTGTCTGGATCCTGAAATATCAATGACATTTTGTTACCAGAGAGATAAAATCAATAACATAACTTATCAATGTACAAGAAGATTATAAAACGGGACATTGAAATTTCCAGAATGCAATATATGCTATTGCTTGTAATAGCATGTCTGTATTCGTTTCCTATTGCTGCTGTTACAAATTTCTACAAACTTAAAACACTACAGATTTGTGATGAGATAGCTCCAGAGGTCAGAAGTAAATCTAAAATGGGTCAGCAGGGCTGTGTTCTTTATGTAGATTCTAAGGGAGAGAGAATTCCTTTCCTTGCCATTTCTGGCTTCTAGACGCCTGCATTCCTTTGCTTGTGGACCCACATTGCTTCAAATTCTGCTTCAATAATCGTATCTTCTCTGACTCTGACCTTCCTTCTTCCTTCTTATAAAGACCCTTGTGAATACATGAGCCAACTAGAATAATCCAGGATAAGCTCACTATCTGAAGATCCTTAATTTAATCACATCTGCAAAGTCCCTTTTGACATGTAAGGTGACATATTTACAGGTTTCAGGGATTAGGACATGAATATCTTGGGGGAAGGCATCATTTTTCTGTCTACCATGATGTTCTTGATTCTAAGACACATTTAATTGTGTATCAGTTGAGGGGTGGGAACCACTACCACATTAAATGTGTGTTTTTAATATGTACCCTGATTTTAGAAATGTTGAAATGTGGGAAACTGCACATTGGGGAATAGATGATCCATGATAATGCAACAAGCAGAGGAGAGCTGCATGCTTTAGAGGCTCAGGTTCTACATTCTGAGCCTAAGGTGGAACATGAATACACTCATCCAATTTATGGTTTTTCAGTCTCTATAAGGTACCAGTACCTGGGGGTATAACAGTAAGAGACACAGTGCCTGTCCTCACGGAGCTTCCTTCCTGGTGGCAGAGGCAGACAATGTGCAGTTACATGGGAGGGATGAGCACTATGAAGGAGAAAGGAGCAGAGTCAGGAGGCTGAGGGTGTCACGGGCAGGGTGGGGAGGAGCTGATGTAGACAGAGCAGGTCAAGGAAAGCAGGTAAGGAGGTAACGTCTAAGCAGAGTCCTAAAGGAAAGCCTAGGAACAGGAGTTTAGACCAAGGGAAGACTGTGCACATCGACTATAAGGCGGAAAGCAGCTTGACGCTGGGACATTCATCAGCTCCACAGGAAAGAGACTTTCCAACCACCACTGTCCCCACGCTGAAGTAGAATGTTCCTCCGGGAACATTAAAATGTAAAACTTTATAAAGAACACATTTTTCTTCTCTTTTTCTTAAGATTGAGTGAGCGATGTGGAGGGACAAGAAGGTGAACAAATTTGGATGTGAGAAAATTATTTGCTATAAAAATAATAGTAGAAACTACCATATTGTTTCTAATTTAAACTTAAGTGCCTACCCAAGATTTGCACCGAGGTAGGCCCAAAGGAGACATAATGCTCTCAACTTCCTGCTTCTATTCCCTTTAAAATTGACTTAGTTATTTTTAAAGTTTAATTGGGCAATTTTTTATTTTTTATTTCTGTTGGTACATAGTATTTGTATATATTTATGGGGTACATGAGATGTTCTGACACAGGCATGCAATGTATAATAATCACATCATGGAGAATGGGGTATCCATCCCCTCAAGCACTTATCCTCAGTTTTACAAACAATTAAATTACACTCTTTTAGTTATTTAAAACTGTACAATTAAGTTTTTATTGACTATAGTCACCCTGTTGTGCTATCAAATAGTAGGTCTTATTCTTTCTAAATGTATTTTTGTACCCACTAACCATACCCACTGGCCAATTGTTTTTTAAATTCACAATCCCACTCGCTCCAATATTTCCACCATCTTTATCCTAAAACATCCTATACCTGCCCTCCTGTAGCCTTGTTCCTTCATCAGAAAAGCAAAGCTCTGGCAAGCATGTGACTCCTGTTTCTACTGTGAGTCAAGGGTCATGACCAATGTCTGTTGATTAAAACCCCATCAAAGGGAATAAGCACAAGTCTTAGTCCTTCTCAAGAGAAAGGGAAAAGCCATCTGGAAAATCCCCAGCATCATTATGACAGCTACAAATTGCCAATTATTAATGGCTCCCAGTCTAACAGCCAGACTGCAACAGGGACTCACTTGATTTGTTAGGAAAAAGTGGTAGACGACCAGTTCCCCAAATGAAAGAGCAAACACACAGGCAAAAAGACACCCCCACCCCTGGAGCAGTTCAAAGGTTCAGAATCTTGTGGTTATAGAGGAAAACCTGGAGGCAACTCATTAGTGGTAGGAGGGTGATGCCTCAAGCTGTGGCTCATGACTAAATCATGTAACAAAACACCTTCTTATTGACCTTGAATTATACAATGTGTCCAAACAATGTGTCCTGACATTAAATTTGCAATCAAGGTAAATACAATTAATATAAGCACTATTCAGACTTATGTGGGAAATAGAAGCAGGATTTTTGGAGTCTCTTATGTTGCTCATTAAGGCATTTTAAAAATTGCTCACCCACATGCCTGTGAATTTGAAGGTTATTTTATAAACCATTACAAAATCAACTATGTATAGTTTCTTACATATGTATAGTTTGGCAACTTAGTTGTCAAGGATGTTTAGCTTAAACCTCTAGCTTTTAGAAGTAAATTTGTATGCTTCCATTATTGTTAGCACAGTCATTTAAAAGTCATACTATTCCACATATACAGTATATTGACCCAAGTACTGCAGGAAACGATTAGGACCTGGAAATTTATAATTGTATTTGACCTGAACATGAAACTATAACCAGGAAACCAGGAAATTTTCAGTAACAGGCTGGACTAAGCTGAATACTTTCCAAACTATCAATCATGGGTTTGTTGGACAACCTCACAGGTTAAATGATGCAAGCAATTTTAGTGCAGGCTGGTGTGATGCCCATTGAAATGAAATGTGAACCAATACCTACAGGGAGATGTTCAGGCCAATCCATGAAGATTTAACCATAAGTCACTCATTAGTGTTAATGGAGCATGACTCTTAAATTCCAAATGACACCTTAGACTTTTACTGCCCATAGAAAAGGTAGATCAGGGAGCAGCACCTGCTGTGATCTGAGAAAATTGAAGGCAAGTAAAATGTTTTCACCTACTGTTAATGGAGGAGACCAAAAGGCTCAGTTTCTTTTACCAAACTGTCGATACAGAATATTTTATACAGAAACTTATCTGGCATTCATCATCAAAAATGACCTTCTATAAGGCTCTTCCATCCCCTCTGTATAACTAAACTGCCCAAGCAAATACAGAGGGCAGAGATTCTGTCTTACATCTTTGGATATTTCAAAATTTGGCTTAGTGTGTTGGCCATAATAGCTGCTCAGTAAATAATTCTTGATAAGAATGAAAAGGAAAAGGAGGAGGATGTAAAATATGCTCAACTGTAATCTTGAAGAGGAAGAATAATTATAGGCAATAAACAAGCCCCAAGTGCAGGCTCAATTGTAAACTGTTTTCCTCTTGCGATTTGAAGAAAGAATGCCCAACACCCCCAGTAAAACCCAGGTCTAAGTTTAGAAAGTGCCATTTGGTCATTCAAAGTTGGCCATTCTTCAGCCTAGATAGAGTACTTCTTGTGGCTCGTTCAACTTACGTTAGTGTAATACATTTAACCTTAATTGGCAACTCAGTTGTCAAGGATGTTTAGCTTAAACTATATAATTCTGCAAAGTCAGGAGTAAGCAAAACAGAAATTAAAGATTGTAAGGAAAAGGGCATTAAACAGACTTTGTTCATTTGTTTTAATTAGTATAGCTGAATTTTAATTATCACAATTCTTCACCAGATACTAGTAAATGTGTCCCTACAATTGCTCAGCTAACAGCAAGACACAACAACTAGATTTTTACTTACATGTTCTCTTGGATGGCATCCTAGTGGAGATAAGATAGAGCAAAGACATAATATCTGCAGGCGCACATTACTAATGAGGGATGAACTTAGCTAGTGTGTGGGCAATGATACTGATTCCTTGCAGAACCGTTCAGTGCCATTAGCAAGGTTCTAAACCCCAAAAGTGTTTTCATAACTTCTTGTCAGAGTTGAGAATTATTCTTGGGAAGGACAGACTTTCCTAAATTAGGTAGTCAGGGATATTAACTTACCTGAGGACTTTTCCACCCATAGGCATCTTTCTCCTGTTCCAATAATAACTACATGTCCCAAGCACGAAGGTAAATATTTTATGTACATCACCTATTTACAACAACCTTGAAAGGTAGAAGTTACCTGCCACATTTCACAGATGAGAAACTCAGACAGGCTAACTAATTTGTCAAGCTCATACAGTTATCCAGTGGCAAATTTAGGAAATGAAACGAACTCTTGGTCTCCAAATCCCGTATCTTTATCAGGTCTAAGACACGTGTCCTAAAACCTCACCGCACTCTCATGAAGCCTGCCTGAACTTTCTGTCATTTCGCTTGGAACCATGTACTAAGTTTCTCCTATTCTGGGGATCTGGAGTTGGAGTGGAAATCATATTGGCAGATGGGAATCTGATTTCTCTCAAAAGTTTCCATGCCTGTGATCTAGCACTTTGCAAAGATATTGTTATTATTATTATTGATATTACATTAAATCACAGGGCAGCACTATACTTTCAAAGTTGGATTAAATCAAAAGGATCAAGCTAAGTTTTCTATTGGATCAAACTCACTTAAAAGGACCTAGAGCTAGTGTTCTAATGAAATATATGAAACACCAGTTTATAAAACAAAATGAGCCAAAAGATGTCTATCTTCAATGTGAATGGATTGCTTAAAGGGAGAGTTGAGACCTGCTTTGAAAGAAAAGTCCTATCTATGGAAGACATCTCAACCCATGAAATTATTTAGCATTTGCTATTACTGTAGTTTCTAAAACATACTATGTGCTTATTTTTGAAAACTTAGAAATATAGAAAAGATGTAAACAAACAAAAACCTCATGACCCCAGTACCCAGAGGCAACCCTGTTAACATTTTGTTATAATTTCTTGCTTCCTATTTTCTATGTAACTTTTATTTAGTTGATTTCATATCACAAATATAGCTTTTAATTCCCAAGGAGACTTGGAGAATATAAACCTATAGGAAATCAACTTTAACCTTAGCATGCTAAAATAATAAGTATTTTAGCATGCTTTATACTTATTTAAATATAGTATTTAAAACATTATATATTTATATATATAGTACCTTGTATATATATACACTATATATATAGCATATATATAGTATATATATAGTATTTAAAACATTATATATATACTTATTTAAATATAGTATTTAAAACATTATGTATATAAAATATATTACATATATTACATATATACATACATATATAACATATATATATATTTAAAGCATACCATATAAACATACTATATAAAGGTTGACTTTTAGAATACTTATCAGTTTAAATTCATTGGTTTAAAGGAGCTGACCCAAAGGAACCTACATTTATTCAGATATTACTGTTGTAGAAGTCCTTCATGTTTTCTGAGCTGCATAATTTCATAAATTTCCCTAATGACAGGAAAACCCCAGTGAGAACTACAGAATTCTGCAAAGTCAGGAGTAAGCAAAACAGAAATTAAAAATTGTAAGGAAAAGGGCATTAAACAGACTTTGTTCATTTGTTTTAATTAGTATAGCTGAATTTTAATTATCACAATTCTTCACCAGATACTAGTAAATGTGCTGAAATCATTTTGTAAAATTAGAAAAGCTTTAACATTACAAGGCCTTGTTTAATTTTGTACTATTCTTCATTTGCAAAAAAGAAAAAATGTGATTTAAGTGAGAAGGTAGGGCATTTGGGGCAGATAAGTAAAATAGAAGTTTTGCGTCATTTAAGTAATTCATTTAACTGTAATGTCCATGAAGGCAGAAATGTGCCTATCCTGTTTGTTGTTTTAGATATTGTATCTAGTATAGTTAATAATTGCTGAATGATTGAACGTTAAAATGAAGAAATAATTGTTTCTCATCTCCTCAAAAGTATTATAAAATTCACAATGGCAGATTTTAACTTTTATTTCTTCTTCACACATAAAACATCAGCAAAAGTTTGAGTAATCAGGAATTAGCCAACAGATACTCCTTAGAAAACACATATTCTGGGGACGAGCAGCTTTCACTAACCCTCATTGCAAAGAACAAAACAGTCTAAACATAACCCAGCCAAATTCGTGTGAGCCTAAAAGAAGCAGAACTCTGCTGCTTCTCCCCTCACCTCCACAGGAAAGTTGGTTTATGTTGGTTTTATTTTGTTTTGTTTTGAGTCAGAGTCTCGCTCTGTCACCCAGGATGGAGCACAGTGGCATGATCTTGGCTCACTGCAAACTTCATCTCCTGGGTTCAAGTGATTCTCCTGCCTCAGCCTCCCCAGTAGCTGGGATTAAAGGAGTGCGCCACCACTCTCGGTTAATTTTTGTATTTTTAGTAGAGACAGGGTTTCACCATGTTGGCCAGGCTGGTCTCGAACTCCTGGCCTCAAGTGATCCGCCTGCCTTGGCCTCCCAAAGTGCTGAGATTACAAATGTGAGAGCCACCATGCCTTGTTAAAAGACTTTTTTTTTTAATGGCAGAATTGTCCACAGACTGTCAGAAGAATGCCTTGCTATTCTCTGTGGTAATATACTCATGAGGTTAACACCAGGGATATAAATGCAACTGGAGTAAAGGTCTGCCTGCACTCCCTCATCCATCACGTGTGTCCTCAGGCTTCTTCTTATATATACTTGTGTAGGTATTTCTCTGTCATGGGGATTATTTTACCTAAAGATATGAAAGTTTTGGGGGATGAGGTAAAAAGCTGCCTCATCTAGGAAAGTCTCCTGATTCTAGCACTGTGCCATCTGACTACTGATTCCTTTTGTTTCAGCTCTCATTGACGACCATCAGACTAGATCTTGGATTATGCTGCCTGCCTGAGTCCTTGATTTTTATCACCACTTAAAAGGATTTTATGTTCATTTAATTCAACCCATTGCTTGGCTGAATTTGCTGCTAGATCTGTTCTGATATGGGTAGCTTCAGACCCTATCCTCACTCTGATGCCTAACATCTCTCTAACCTACCACTTACAGCCATGGTTGTCCCCTTCCTGCCCATATACCTGCAACCACCTGCCTCCCACAACCACAAACATTAGGTCCTGCCCAGAAAAAAAGTCTCTACTTCTGAAAATGAAAATGAAAACTTTTGAATTATTATACAAGTAACACACACATTTTAACACAATTTAGACAATACAGAAAACCACAAAATAGGATATAAAGCTTCCTTATACTGAGACTCTGAAGGAACAGCCACTAGTATCATCTTACTGTGCATTCTTGCAAAATCCTTCCTGTTTCAACATCTTAGGTATGGGAGAAGAATTTTCTTTCATTTGTGTGATCCATCAATATGGATTGAGAGTCACAGGAGGAAGAAACCACAGTGTTATAAGCCACAATGTAGTCAATAAATAGATTTTGGCACTAATTGTAGAGTAAATCAATTGCCAAGAACAAAAGTATGAGGGATCTGTAACAATTCTGCACCTGTTTGTTTCTCTGGTTCGATGCTTTGACTTCAGTAACATTTTCATTTAGAGTGTTTACAGGAGATATATGAAGAATAGAGAGAGGCATAAGGATGGCTTGGCATAATGGTTCAAATCGAGTTCTGCTTCCCTCCGATCAATTTTTTTCAACCTACTGGGCTTCCTTCCTAACAATGAAAATTTGATTATTTCTATAACCTACTTGAATTACAATCCTTGGTTTTTGTAAGTTGAGTGCTCTATGGATTTTAAACTTTACATAAATATGGCTAAGTCTGAAGTCAGATTGGTCTTTAACAACACAAACAGATTTCAGAGAAGCTCTCTACCCAAGTGCTTACATTGCACAAGCAAGGTTGAATTTTACATATATGTATGAATACCCATAAGTCTTACAAAGATCAGATACAACCAATAGTTTTATTTCATCTGTGTATATACACCTCTAATCAAACTTAAAATCTCGTAAGACTAGTAATTAACTCTAAAAAACAGAAAGGGAGACAGTCATTATTAGTAGATACAGATGTTAGTCTTTCTTGCTGGGAATCAAAAAACAGTGTTCAGTCTTTTGTCTATGTATCTAGATGTCTAAGGATGCATGTGGGGATGTGTTATATACATTTATATGTACTTCGTGTAGCATTCAAGGAAAATAAATATCACCTCCATCTAAAGTCAATGTACATTAGAAGATTTGGAATATAATCAAATCACCACTCCTGCTTCAAGGAATCACTGCAGGATGTAAAATAAGAGCACAGAGCTGCACCATTTTGCCTTTTTCTTTCAGGAACTGAATTTGCATTACCCTTCTGCCATATGTTCAGGTAGCTTTCAATGGTACCTCATACAGCTGTGTCATTGAATTCCCAAACCTTAATGAATAAACTAATTACAGTCTGAAATGAACTCTTGCACACTAGCTATCTCCTGCCATAGATCAAGGAGAGAACTTTATTCCCACAACTATCTACTAATTTGCATTAGCCACAAAAAGTGCACCAGAGCATCCTTCCCTACTCCAACTGGGCAACCAGAGCTGCATTGGTAGCATACTACACCATTGGTATTAATTCCTCACAGTTCAGGTTTGCAGCAATAAATTTGCCACTGCCACAACAATCCTCAAGTACAAATGCAGCTAGGAAGCTATTGATTTACTTGAGTTGGGTGGCAGCACTGATATAATTGTAAGTTTCACTGCATTAAATTTACAGTTGAGCACTATTATTCATTTGGGACTTGGAGTTCTGTTTATTTGCAAAATGTTTCCAAAGAGGTCAAAATAAAAGTTTTCCCATTTGAAGTATTTTTAAGTAGTAAGAGCAACTTTATCAAATACAAATACAGCCAAATCAATGTCAAAAGTTACCAAGAACATAAGATGCAAATCAGCACTTATTCTCTGAATTCAATGTCTATCCTCTGCTACCAAGGTCCTGCTGAACTTGTTAATTATAACAAGTTGTCTTTCAACCACATAGTGTTCAGATGAATATAACCTTATGGTGGCTTTATTGCCAAGTTAACTCTTTCTCATCAGCAGCAGGTCACATAATTTTAAGAGACTGACTGGGTTGTTTGGTTTCATTCTCCCTCAATGTGCTCACAAATTTCCCATCAAAATTGTAGTATTTCAAAGAGTGGAAGCTTGGACAACCTATCATAAAAGTAAAAGTTAGGAGACCTAGATAACAGCCGCAGTTTTGTACATATTCACTTTGGGACCCAAACTCAAACAGCTTCTACATCCTTTTCCACAAGGTAGGAGGAAGCTCCATTAAGACCATGTACAGGAGTGGAAATGTATGCCTTTAAGACCTACATGCATTTAAGACATTAGGGGAATCATTTTTACTTCCCGTCTTTACCTAGCTCAGACTCCCTGTTGCTTATTCTATTCACAGTGCCTTCAGATCCTCTTATGGAGAACATTTAATAATTAACATTATCATCATCATTGAAGTGTGAATGTGTAGAATATATTTCAGATTTCCTTTTGTGAGCTAAAGTATCTTTTTCCCCACATTATGTCTTACGTCTCACAGAAGCCCAAGGTTGTAAGATAACTCAAGAGATCATAAATTACTTGCAGCAGATGAGATTAAATTAAAGCCATCCTGATAAAAAAAAAGATGGCCCTGTAATATCTAGACAGAATATTCTAATAATGGTAGAATATTGAAAAATAGGATTACTATTGTAGTAACTTTCATTTATGTAGCATGGTGTAATTTGCAAAGTGTTTACCATATATTTGTTTCCTACTCAATGCCTATGTTACATAATCCCTCTGCATAATCTAATGTCATGTGATGAAATGAATGGGTGTTTACTTTTCATAAAATATCTTGTCACCCAGGCTGGAGTGCAATGGCATGATCTCGGCTAACTGCAACCTCTGCCTCCTGGGTTCAAGCAATTCTCCTGCCTCAGCCTCCCAAGTAGCTGGGACTACAGGCATGCACCACTACACCTGGCTAATTTTTTTGTCTTTTTAGTAGAGATAGTGTTTCACCATTTTGGCCAGGCTGGTCTCGAACTCCTGACCTCAGGTGATCCACCTGCCTCCAGGTTATCTGCTCACCTCGGCCTCCAAAAGTGCCGGAATTACAAGCATGAACCACCATGCCCAGCCAAATGCCTTTATATTTTTGATAACATACATCCAGATCTCTTTCTTCCATACTGCCTAAGCAATTTGTTTTTCCTTCCCAGATTTGTAATACCCTGAAGTATACATTCCCAAGCAACCTTACATTTGTTCTCAATTTTTCCCTAATTTTACTTTACCTCTAACAAAATAAGATTTACAAGCTAATGTAGTATGACTAAGACAGATGGAACTGGGTTACACATTTGGTTAATTTGCCCAATACCATGCTAGGCCACATCCTCTTGCAGACCCTAGGAACAGCCGAGGACTTGCACATAGGCACAAAGCTGTTCCCCTCTTTAATACAATATCTAGAAGCCAGCAGAGCTCCTTTGATGATTTAGGACAATCCTCTCTCTCCTCTCAATAGGAAAAAAGAAGGAAATCAGCAAGGAATAGAAACATACCTGGAACTAGTAAGATGATGGTGGGTGGGAGGGAAGAGATTACCACCCAAGACCTGAATAGGACATGAGGTATCAGAAGCCAGAGAGGACTTTTTGAAAGGGGGCACACCTGAGTCTGAAGCTATGCCTTTCAAGAGAGGGAAGCAGCCAACCTGTGTGATCCAGCAGAGTGAGGACAGGACTGCATACTCTTGCCTCCCTTGGATGTCCTATCAGTTTCCTGCATTGCCCAAACCCAACCAGAAGCCAGAAGGCAAGGAATCTCTATTCCTGATAGGCAAGCTTCCCCAGTCACTCATCAGGTTGAAGAAAAACCAAGAACCTGTATGGAGGGCAAACAGGAAGAGAGCCAACAAAGCGGATTAGCCAACAAAATTTCACCAACAGTAGGTAGCATGTTTTCTCTAATGGCACTAAAAAACAGACAAATTCTTTTATACCATTACTCTACATTTAGTATTGGGCCATATTATTTTCCCATGTAAATTATTTTCTTGTTTTGTATGCAATAATTAAGAATTTTAGAAGCTGGTATATCCTAGAAATAAAATGAATGGATTCTTATAGAATATGTCCTCAAAGTCAACTTTGGAGCATTTGACATAAATTTTGCCTATAACAAATTGTACACCTGTTTTAGTCGGCTTGACCTGACATAACAAAATACCATAGACTGAGTGGATTAAACAACAGAAATTTATTTCTCACAGTTCTGGAGACTAGACGTCTAAGATCAAGGTGTCAGCATGGTCAGTTCCGTAGAGGGTTCTCTTCCTGGCTTGAAGATGGCCATCTTCTTGCCGTGTCCTCACATGGCAGAGAGGGGTTGGGAACAGGACTCTTTGATGTCTTTTCTTATAAAGGCACTAATTCCATTGTGAGGACCCTGCTTCATTCCCTCATCTAAGCCTATCTCCCAAAGGCCCCATATTCAAATACCATTACCTTGAGAGGTAGAGCTTCAACATATGAATTTGTGGGGGACATAATTCAGTCCATAGTAACATCCAAACCATCACAAAGAAGAGATGAACAACAGTGCTTTTAAAATGGCTCAGTTGTCCAGTCTACCCACAGTCTTTTTCCTATCTGCCACACTGCTATTACAGTTATATTTTTAAAACATATATCTGATCACATCACTTTTCAGTTTAAAAGTCCTTGAAGTCATATCCATATCCCACTCTCTAATTCTCATCATCCACTACTAAGCAGAACACATATACCTTATGTTTAAAAAAAAAAAACAAAAAACATGTCTCAGGCTGGGCACACTGGCTTATACCTGTAATCCCAACACTTTGGGAGTCTGAAGCCAATGGATCACTTGAGGCCAGGAGTTTGAGACCAGCCTGGCCAATGTGGCAAAACCCCATCTCTACAAAAAATACAAAAACTAGCCAGGCATGAGGGTGCACACCTGTAATCCCAGCTACTCAGGTGACTGGGGCACAAGAATCGCTTGACCTCAGGAGAGGGAGGTTGCATTGAGCCAAGATTGCACCACTGCATTCCAGCCTGGGCAACAGAGCAAGACTCTGTCTCAAAACAAACAAACAAACAAACCAAAAACAAAACAAAAAACATGTCTCCACCACGCACATTCACAGATACTTGCCTTTTTTCACATTGTTTCCTTTCTATCCATAATGTCTTTCTCTAATGAACTCCTATTCATCCCTCAAGGCTCACTTCAAATGTTCCCTAATCTCTGATGCTTTCCCCAAACCTACTAAGGAGAGTTAACAGCTCATAATACAGAAAAGCTATTATTCTATTATAATATAATTAGCTTTTTACATTCCATCTTTTCTACTAGATTATGAGCTCCTTTAGGGGTGAAACAAATCCTCATTAATCTTTGACACAATGCTGAGCATAGAGCAAATTAAAGGCTTTGCTAACTTTCTCACTACCATGGATAGTAAGCTATACCTCTAGATAGAAGAATCTTCTTGAACAATAAAACCTTGGATAGAAAAATTAAAAACAAACAACAACAATAACCAAAAACCTTGGGTAAATATAGAAAAAAAATTACCTAAGATGTGCAAAGTCAACACCAACCAATTAAGCCTGGGTTTAGGCAGAATTAGCATAAGAACGTGGGCTCTGAAGCCAGACAACTTCGGTTTGAATTTACCAGATAAAATACAGGGCACTCATTTTCATTGAAATTGGAATTTCAGATAAACAATGAAGTTTTTTTTTAGTGTAAGTATGTCTGAAATATTACAAAGAGAGAGCAAGTATTACATGAGTGTTCTGTTTTTGTGTGTTTTTCCCCAGCATCAAAACCATTCCTAGGTTCAAATCTCGGTTCTGCAGCTTCCTGATTGTGTGACCTCAGACGAGTTAGTTCATCTCTCTGTACTTAAGTCTCTCATTCTTAAAGTGAGGATAACAAAAGTTCCTACCTCATAGAATTGTTGTTACGATTAAATAAATTTATACTCATCTTTGTAGCACAATTTCATGTGTTTCTAAAGTCTCTAAAATGAGTCAAAAATTGGTGATAAATTTAACCCTAAGCAATGTAGTTGCATAGGGTTAAATTTTTAGTGATAGAAAAGAAAAATAAATGACGAAAAAAGATCATGTTCTAATGTCAGATAATGAGAATCTCATTTTTCATAAAAATGAAAAAAGAATTTTTAAGATTAATCACTTCACCCATATGTAAATTTACCAGCTCCATGACAGCAACATATTAGAGTTATTATGCAGGACTTCAAACCCGCCCTGATGGGGATTACTAAAAATAATATCACAGGACTGGACCAGGTGTGATATCATACAGATTGTTAGAGCATGCGTATATTTCAACACTGTCATTATTGTTTTGTCATTGCCTAGCCAGTCAAACATAGTCCAAGTCCCCTTAACTAAAAGCACAGCCAAGTGAAGAGAGAAATGTGTCAAGTAAGAAATGGCTTCAAAATCTCATATTAATATGCTCTGGTGGGAAATACTGTCTCATGTATCACTATTAAAAACACACGTGCACACACTCACACACATAACACACACACACACATAGAGGCACATCTCAAAGCAATAAAGGGCCTGCAGAGAAGGAAGGTGAAATATGCTTGCTAAGCAATCATTATCCAATGTGGGGAAGCCTGAAAGCAACAAAGGACTAGTCATAGGAAATTTATAAGTTAATATCAGTCACACCTGCAAATTACTACAGTGAGACCCCTAACCAAACTGAGAATACCATCTGAATGGATTTGGTAAGATACTTATACATCCCTTGAAGTCATCAAAATGCTCTGAATCTAAAGTTGTCAGTTATTCCAATTAAGTGCAGTGGAAGTAATATCCATCACAGTGCAGATGAAGCAAATTTAACCGTACCACTCAAGAGCAGGGTTTTCCTTGGGAGTCTGTAATGCATTTATTCACACATCTTGTGATTCAGGATATAAATGGACTCTTTATATTTAATGACCAATTAGGATTTTTTAAAACCCTTATTGCTTAAAAATGAGACTCATATGCCTTAGAAACCCCAAACACAAAACACGCCTACTGGTACCTTCTGGGAGTTTAGCAAAGCATATATTTTGAACTGTTGGCCAAAATAACCCCATCTGAGTGACAATTTACACACATGTCACACCTTTTCATCTCCCTTGTTTTCTTGGAAAAGGTCAAAGCCATCAAGACGACATGCTCAGCCAGAGTCAGGGAGAGTCATCATTTCACAACCGTGAAGTGGAACTCACACAGCAAATGAGGCTAATCATTCAGCAAGTACAAGGAAAAGAGATTATGAGATCATAATTTTCTCACCAATTGAGAATCACTGTGCATAAAAATAGGAATTACTAGGAAAAATTTAGAATACTTACCAAGAAAATAAGAGCACTAAATAAAATGATCTCTCGTCTGGAAAATGACTTTCCAGGCAAAACAGAAAGCACTCAGAAATACAAACGATAAGATAGCAAGAAAGTAAATCCTACTGAAAACAATTTAATTCTGTTGCTTTATTCTCAAAATATGATTTGTCACACAGAATGCCCTGAGTGACCTTGCAGATGCCACTCACCTGGCATCACGAGAACTCTTCTTGCTGGCAAGTGGGAAATAATTCTGTTTTCCTTTATCTGGCCACAAACATAAATGACGCATTCTTTAATGTGTTAGTAAAAGTGTTGTAAAGACTGATTAGATTAATTGAGAGAGCCTGATGTGCACTTGCCTTTTAAAACCTTATAAAAATCCTGCTTAACTTTTTCTAGATGACCATCTCCCAACAAAAAGATTCTTTGATAATGTAGGAAGGAAAAATTCCTTCTCAGCTTTTATGCATTTGGGAAAGCCCACATAAAATTAATTTTTCCACAGAAGAAATATATAATAGACCTTATTATATAGAAATATATATTCTACATATTATGTAGAAATATATAATAGACCTTAGGAAAATGATATTTAATCCCAAAATTGCATTTTAAGGAGGATGGAGTCTGTGAAAGAAAAGACTAGGTAGGTAGCCCTTTTGTGAAACCAAGCACCTTGGTTGGTGTCGGGTATGTAAAGGTTGCTCTGGGGGGAGTTTGGGAGTAGAAGCTTAAGCAAGTTGATGTTTTCTGAATAAAACAATAAGAACTTGGCAGTCCTGAGAGCAAGCCTGGAGAGGTGACAGGAATGAAGGAGACCAAGGAGCCAGAAAGACAGAGAGAGGCCAGGATATGACATGAAGTGGCTTTGACTGGTGAGCCATACCCTGTGATGAGTTGGCCAAAACCCCTGTCAAGGCCAGGAATGTTTAATACATGATTGTAAGTTGAATTCTATGCTGCATGATACGGCAGCGTGACTGACTACTTTCCTTTGATTCCTCAATCCTCTATAAAGATTTTGTTTATGGCTGGAAAGATCAAGAAGAAGGGGTCTACCATACTGGGAAAGAGAAGATAAAGGGCCATCCCTAGATGCAGAGCAGAAAAAAAGGGATCTCCCAGAAGTAACCCTGAGAAGGTAAGTCTCCCAGGATTTGCAGGTATCTTGCAGTTTCATCTTCCAGCTGAATATTCATTTTGTGCTTTAATTCTCATAGTAATTCTCAGCGTAGTCCCCTAGCACCATACCTTAGAACTGAACATTTAATGTCCTGAGCCATAATCTATTCACCAGTTGTTTACTATACACTTTAGAAATGTGTCTGTCATCCAGATCACTGATTTCACACACAGGCAAGACCCAACACACCCACACACAAAATCATAAAGATATACTTTGAAGCCAGCTGGTTAGAACCAGGAGTACATTTTTTCTGTAGAAGAAATGTTATAAATCAGATACTCAAATGTTAGTGTGCACAGCATAGGAGACTTGTTAAAAATAGATTCCTGAGGTCTACCACCAGAGATTCTGATTCTGGGATAAAATCCAACAAACAGCATTTTGACTAAACACCCAAGTAATCTGAGGCAACCACACTTCAGAAAATATTGGTATTTGTAGTGATGAGATTTCCTTCATAACCCACAAGACTTAACCCAGAATGTAACTAAAATAGTTGAGTCTTACCTGTGCATGAAATTAGTGGTCTAGATGACAGTCACAAATAGTAAAATAGTAATAATGATCATTGTCAGCCCTGAATACCCCTCTCCACAGATCAGATCCTTAGACTTTTTAGCTCAACAGCTCTGAGCACTGAGATGGTTGGTCCAACAGAACCAAGAGGATTCCTCTGCAGGATGGGCTAAGTCAATGAAGCCAGGCAGCAGCAACTGTCATGCAAAACGGTTGCCCATAATTGCAGTTTTTGTCCTCTGAACTTGTCACCCCATACAGAATTCTAATTAAGAATCTTGTGTTGTAAAAGAATTAAGATATCTCCCCAACTTAGACACTTACAGCCAAGCAATAAAATTGGGAAAATTTAGCTTCATTAATTTCTGTATAAAGATTATGTTTCCAGAAGAGCATAGCTTATCTCAGGAGTTTTTTCCCATGGAAATTAATTGAAAGTAATATTCAATTACAATATCCAAGACTCAAAGAGTGAATTGAATGTTGATTTGTGAGTAAACACCAAGGAAAACATACCGCAAGGCTTAAGGTGGAGAGGCTCTTTCTGGCATAGTGTCCAAAGTGATAAAGAAAAAATACATAAAGGACTAGAATTGTTCTAAGTGGCTGAAAGATTTCAGATATCATTGTATGATGGCCTGCCAGAATCTTAGTCTAGCAAAGGTTACTAAAAGACACTAGACAGTAACAGGACAATTTTTAACTTAAAAAAAAAATGCATCAAGCTTATAGCAGAGTAACTTCTAGACCTTGAATGACACAACATGACAATTTTGTTGGCTGACCTTTCAAAAGAGAGAAGATCTAATCAGACATTGTGATGTTCAGGTTCTGAATTATGATGAGCAAGCAGGAGTCTCTAATCCCCCCACCACTGCAGCTAAACATTTGGGAGTAATATTGCTAATTAGAATGCAGCATTCTAACCTGAAAGCAGAGCTCCTTGCTCAGTCCTATATTGGCCAAGCCTGCTGTTTCTGCTGCCTCTTCCCAACACACTACCTATTATTTTCCACCACAGAGACTCCCCCTTATTACAATTTTCAATGTATTTTTGTAACAGATGCAATGTGTTTACTTGGGTGCCTGGAGACTGAATCTCTTCAGGTGGGTAATCATTAGAATGAGGAAAGTCAAGAAATCACTGTAATCCCCACTTCACCTCCTGTACAAAATAAATTCCACATGGATTAAAGATTTAAGGCTAAAAAATAAATCCACAGAAGACTACAAGAACAAATGAGCATGTTTTCCACAGAGTTTATAATAGTAAAAACCTGGCAAAAAAATTATAAATCCTGACTGTTCATCAATAGGGAAACACACAAACGCAAATGATAGTTTATTCATTTAGTGGAAGAGTGTGTGGCTGAAAATAGCTCTTTAAGAGGAGGAAGTGGAATTCTATATACAGATACAGAAAGATGCCTATGACATTGATAAGTAAAAAGAGAAATTAAAGTATGTAGTGAACAACAACAATATATGTGTGAGTGCATGCTAAAAGAAATCCTAAGGGGAAAAATACACAAATCCCTAGCATTCGTTATATGTGGGGCCAAGAATATGGGAGATCATCTCTTTATGGTATACTATATGCCTTTTAGTATCATTTGAGTTTTTGCTACAACAAGAAAGTACAAGAAAGTCTCATCATTTAAAAATTTTAAATTATTAAATTCCATCCTCCCTAGAGAGAAAAGGGGAAAGATCATTGAACTAGTGCAATCATAGTGAAAAGTATAGAATAAAGCAGTTAAGAACAAGAGCACTGGAGCTAGATTGCCTAAGTTCAAACTCCAGCTCTGCCACCTTCTCACGATGCAAGTCACTTGACTTCTCTACCTCTCTGTGCCTCAATTTTACTTTCTATAAAATGGGCAGAGTAAGGGCAAACACTTTCTGATTTTATTATAAGGATTAAGTGAGTATGTATGTAACGTGCCTAAAAATGTCTGATAAATGTTAATTTTGTTATTTTATTACTTTTACTATTATTTCATGGAAGGAGTGAATCTGCCCCATTTTTTTCCCTTAGTTGGCTTCAGTTTTTCACCTCTCACAGCATGAACATCTTGCTGGATTCCATAGCGTTATAGAATCTAAAGCTATATTTCTGATACAACAGGGCCCCTAAACACAACTACTTTTAGCAGTCAAATAGTGATTTGTTTCAATGCTGGTGGAAAACCAGCTGTGTCAGATTTATTAAAGGATAGTATGTCAGTCTTCATTGTGACATGTAAATACGGCCATGTATATTTATGAGCAATTTAAGAGAATTTTGAGCATTCCTTGCTTATGTTCATTATTTTTCTTTAAATGTTGACTTGAGAATTTAGTCACAGTATAGGATACAATACCTTCCCCAAATCAAAAAAGCAATAAACTCCCCAAGTCTGGCATATTACAGACACAGTGATTATAAAGACTACCAGACTTTACACATTGCCTAAATTGACCTTTTTAAAATTGCATTGCTCCTATACACTCTTATGCTATAAGGAGTGCTGAATTATAACTTGAATTATTTTGTACTTTGGCTTACATAAAGAAGGAATGGGTGCCTAAGAAGCAGAAAAATAACAAAATTATAATCTTTGGCCCTTTATGAGACAGGACATCACAGGGCATCCCAGCCCTCCTGCTGGCAGCTCTGTGGCCTGGAAACCAGTGCTCCTAGTACAGGTAGCAGGGCCTTGACATCAGACATTGGCATCCTCTGCTTCCTGGGCACAGGACTTGGCTGGCATTAGCAACAGAGGCATCAGCTTCAGCAGCACCTTCAGTGGGCATCAGCCATGTAGGAACCACTCTCAGGACAAACAGCAAATGGAAGCATTGCCACAGTGGGCCAGAGTAATTGCCATGAGACAGACAAGTTGCCATCTTGTAGTATCAGAGTAAATGTCACCAGATGAATGAAAGAGACCTAGTACCTGCAGCATAATGAGGAAATCTCAAGGGCATTTCAAATTGAAATCCAGGTTGAGTTCCCACTGGAATTTTTAATGCATGAAAGAGTAGAATGTCAAATTTGGCAATGGACTTGGATCTAGGACTTGAAAGAATCACAGTATGCTCTATATGAAGACAGGGTAGAAAATGCTGAAATTTCAGTGACTGCTCTAGCCAGTTCAAAAAATATCCTTTTTGTGAGGTAATTATATGCCACAGGGGAGTTTGGTGTGCACAAATCTAGGGATTCTTGAATGTCTCCAGAGACAGTCATCGGAAATGTCAAGGGTCTGTTGTAGGCTCAGAAAGGCATGGCATTCAGTTGTTTGATCATCCAACAAATATTTATGCCAGGAATTATAAAACTGTACTGAAAATATTCTGGAAGAACCTCCCGTGGGGATATCAGAGAGAACCTGGAAAAGTCGATACCCCAACTGAGAAAGGCTGGAACAGTCAAAAGCACCCAATCACACTGTCTGCTCAGCAGGTCTAGACTGAATGTGACCTTCAGTGGACTTGCTCCTCGTCTTCACCCTCAACCTCAAAAGATGTATTTATTTTACCTATGTAGAAAATGCCCTATAAGAATACACACTAACTTTTATTTGGGGTTTTATTTTTGAGTATTACTTTGAATTTTATTGAATTACTGAAGCAAGAGAGAACACCATGCAGGTTCTGAAATATTGTCTCATTAGGGGAAGTGAGTGTCCATTTTTCACAGCTTAAAGATTAGGCTCAGAGTTCTTAGATAGGGTACGAAAAGCAGGTGCATCTTTGGAACATTGATTTCTTAAGGTGGGTCAATGCAGTCAAGGAAAGATTCTGAGCAAGGGGTAAGGCAATCTAAGGTTGTAATTACAGAGCTGGTAGGACAGTTCCTCTGATTCTCACTATTGAAAATAATAATAATAATAATAATAAAGATAATAAATTATTGCATTATAGATAAGAACTAGAACAATCAACTCCATTAATTATTCTACACTTTTAAAAAATTTTAGATAATAAGTATCCAGAAGACAGGACCGGGGCCCCTTTCTTTGAACACTATCTAGAAAACAACCAAGTGCAGTTTCATATTTATCAAGCCTTTCACATTTGCTTTCCAATGAATGCAGTTAGGATCAGCCCTGCCAAAGTCTTTTTCACTGTTCCTATGAAGACATTATCTCTGGAAAGATCTTTCAAAGGGCAAGGCAAGAAATTCTAGACTGAGTTACTTGGTTAGGACTCATCTAACTTTAGGAATCTAGAATAAAACATGGTTCAACTTAAAAATGTGCTACGTGTGCATAAAATGAAGACTTTACTCTGCAAATGTACTGGAGAAGGCAATCATGGGAACAAGTAATGGATTCACTGTGGCTCAGGGAAGCAGAGAAAAAAAAAGGTAAAGAAGCAAGTGGCAGTAAATGCTGATATGGAGACCCACAGTGCACATCTATCATCAACACAGACTCTTCCACATCCACCCAGGCAGGGTCTGCTTTCCATACACACATCTAAACTTAACATGTTACTTCTTCAGATGTGTTCTCTGTTTCTTTTCTCCTTCCAAACAGTATTAATAAACTCATTTCTTCCATATTAAAATATGTGGGGACATCTAGACCATGGAATCTGTATGCTCTTCTTTTTCTAATGAGATACTATTAAGAATCTCAGACACCTCCATCACATTCTACCGGATCTTAAATCCCAGACAGGAACTTTTTTAAATCAATAAATAGCGATTGCTTATTCAGTGCGTAGCTAAAGAGTAAAATGTACTCTCCCTCTCCCTCTCCCTCTCCCTCTCCCTCTCCCTCTCCCTCTCCCTCTCCATCTCCCTCTCCATCTCCCTCTCCCCACGGTCTCCCTCTCCTTCTCTCTCCACGGTCTCCCTCTGATGCCGAGCAGAGGCTGGACTGTAGAGTGCCGCCATCTCGGCTCACTGCAACCTCCCTGCCTGATTCTCCTGCTTCAGCCTGCCCAGTGCCTGGGATTGCAGGCGCACGCCGCCACGCCTGACTGGTTTTCGTATTTTTTTGGTGGAGACGGGGTTTCGCCGTGTTGGCCAGGCTGGTCTCCAGCTCCTAACCGCGAGTGATCTGCTAGCCTCGGCCTCCCGAGGTGCCAGGATTGCAGACAGAGTCTCCCTCACTCAGTGCTCAATGTTGCCCAGGCTGAAGTGCAGTGGCGTGATCTCGGCTCGCTACAACCTCCACCTCCCAGCCGCCTGCCTTGGCCTCCCAAAGTGCCGAGATTGCAGCCTCTGCCCGGCCACCACCCCGTCTGGGAAGCGAGGAGCCCCTCTGCCCAGCCGCCCAGTCTGGGAAGTGAGGAGCGCCTCTTCCCGGCCACCATCCCATCTAGGAAGTGAGGAGCGTCTCTGCCCGGCTGCCCATCGTCTGAGATGTGGGGAGCGCCTCTGCCCCGCCGCCCATCATCTGAGATGTGGGGAGCGCCTCTGCCCCGCCACCCCGTCTGGGATGTGAGGAGTGCCTCTGCCCGGCCGCGACCCTGTCTGGGAACTGAGGAGTGTCTCTGCCCAACCGCCACCCAGTCTGGGAGGTGAGGAGCGGCTCTGCCTGGCCGCCCAGTCTGAGAAGTGAGGAGCCCCTCCTCCTGGCAGCCACCCCATCTGGGAAGTGAGGAGCGTCTCCGCCCCGCAGCCGCCCCCTCCAGGAGGTGGGGGACAGCCCCCGCCCGGCCAGCCGCCCCCTCCGGGAGGGAGGTGGGGGGCAGCCCCCGCCCAGCGGCCACCCTGTCTGGGAGGTGGGGGGCCCCTCTGCCCGGCCGCCACCCCATCTGGGAGGTGTACCCAGCAGCTCGTTGAGAAAGGGCCATGATGACGATGGCGGTTTTGTCGAGTGGAAAGGGGGGAAGTGTGGGGAAAGGAAAGAAAAATCAGATTGAAATCAAGTTGTTGCTGTGTCTGTGTAGAAAGAAGTAGACATGGGAGACTCCATTTTGTTCTGTACTAAGAAAAATTCTTCTGCCTTGGGATGCTGTTAATCTGTGGCCTTACCCCCAACCCCTTGCTCTCTGAAACATGTGCTGTGTCCACTCAGGGTTAAATGGATTAAGGGTGGTGCAAGATGTGCTTTGTTAAACAGATGCTTGAAGGCAGCATGCTCCTTAAGAGTCATCACCACTCCCTAATCTCAAGTACCCAGGGACACAAACACTGCGGAAGGCCGCAGGGTCCTCTGCCTAGGAAAACCAGAGACCCTTGTTCACATGTTTATCTGCTGACCTTCCCTCCACTATTGTCCTATGACCCTGCCAAATCCCCCTCTCCGAGAAACACCCAAGAATGATCAATAAATACTAAAAAAATAAATAAATAAATAAATAAATAAATAAAGAGTAAAATGTAATGATCCATTTCCCTGGGTCTCCACCCCAGGGACGGCATCTGTCTCCAGTGATGAGGTAGGGTCCTGGACAGAAGGCCCAGCAGGAGTAAAGACTTAAACACGCAGCCAATTCAGAGTCATTTATGAGAAAGAAGGCCATGACTGTAACGCTTTCCGTGTTCACTTCTCCTCAGGGCTGGAGGGCTTGATCTCCAGGGGTACCACAGACTGACCCTTTAATACTACAGGGTTCTAAGCCCATAAAAATCAGTGGGCTGGATGCCATGCAGGACAGTAAGGAAGATGTTTACTATACTTGAAAGGAGAAAAATATGTAAATATGCTAAGATATCAACATCCCTGTTCCTGTGAAAGGATGTCAGCAGTCAAAGGCCCTGTGGCAGATACCATTAATTGCTTTCATAATCTTTCTTTGTTGCTAAGAACTTCAATGCTGTGCAAAGGGACAAAATGCCCAGCCACAGGCAGCAGAGCAAGATTTGTCCTAGTCAGTCTTGACAGTTCTGCTCCTCACTTTCTCAGCCTCCTTTGTGGCTGGAGGCTAGGGGTAAGGGTGTCATTTGACTCAGGATTGAGCAAGAGGTTTAAGAAGAACTTGTTGGGAAGAATGTTTCTGAAAAGGATTGAGCTTTCTTTTTGTTTTTGATTTTTTTTTCCAATCATGTTCCTTCTAAGAATTGAGCTTTCTTGATGTGAAGGACAGATGCGGATGGTGCTCCTTTTCTAAAAACAAAAATAAACCCAAAGGGACATCAGATCCGACCACACTGTCACTGAAACAACTCCAGCAGTGGTTACCTCCAGATTTTTTGCAATGTGAGAAAATTAAATCATTTCTTGCTTAAGCCAAAGTGTTATGTTATTTGCTGCTAAACATATTCTTCACTAACACAGTTCCTCTTCTCATTAAAACTAAATGGTTCTGGCCGGGTGCGGTGGCTAATGCCTGTAATCCCAGCACTTTGGGAGGCTGAGGTGGGTGGATCACCTGAGGTCAGGAGTTTGAGACCAGCCTGGCCAACATGGTGAAACCCTGTCTCTACTAAAAATACAAAAAATTAGCTGGACGTGCTGGTGCACACCTGTAGTCTCACCTACTCGGGAGGCTGAGACACAAGAATTGCTTAAACCCAGGAAGCGGAGGTTGCAGTGAGCCGAGATTGCGCCATTGCCCTCCAGCCTGGGCAAAAAGAGCAAAACTCTGTCTCAAAAAAAAAAAAAAAAAAAAAAAAAACTAAATGGTTCTAGACCAGTGAAAATTGGAAAAGGCACACCTCCTCTGAAGGAGAACAGCCAAATCTCAGCTCCTAATTCCCCTCCCACCTTCCACCCAACCCCAGGGTCCCCCATGGTATTCCCCAGGCCAGGAGGAAGGTGAGGCAAGCAAGGCACTTGCCCATCATGCAAAAGGTAAGGGAATGCCAAAAAAACTCAGTAACCAAGATAACCACTATTTTAACACAATAGTTTTTAAAAATCAAAAGATAATGATTTTTCTTTTTGTTTCAGGCTCTTCTGTTTCATGACTCAGCACAACACTGCTACTAATCCTGTCTTTATTTAAAATTTTAATATTTTGGCTGGGAGCTGTGGCTCACGCCTGTAATCCCAGCACTTTGGGAGGCCGAGGCGGGCAGATCACTCACAAGTTCGAGACCAGCCTGGCCAACATGGTGAAACCCTGTCTCTGCTAAAAATACAAAATTATCCAGGCATAGTGGCGCACACCTGTAATCCCAGCTACTCAGGAGGCTGAGGCAGGAGAATCACTTGAACCAGGGGCTGGAGGTTGCAGTGAGCTGAGATCGCACCATTGAACTCCAGCCTGGGCAACAAGAGCAAAACTCTATCTCAAAAATAAATAAATAAATAAATAAATAAATGAAATTTTAATATTTTGTTCATTATAGATATTTTCATATTAATTGTGCTTCTTAAAATAAATATATATATTTTTAATCTTGACTATTGAGCTTTGGGGCCTTCCTTACATTTTATGTCCAAGGGGAGTGCCTTACTCACTCACCCTAGTCCCAGCCTTGGCACTGCTTCATATAAGCAGATAAACGTGCAGTATAATGTCAGGTGGTGCTCATACTAAGCATGACTTTTTATTTTATTCATTTTTTCTTAATTTCAACTTTTATCTTAGATACAGTGGGTACACGTGCAGGTTTGTTACATGGGTATATTACATGATGCTAACGTTTGAGGTACAGAGCCTGTCACCCAGGTAGTGAGCATAGTACCCAATAGGTAGTTTTTCAACCCACACTCCCCTCTTACCTTCCCGCCTCTAGTAGTCTTCAGTGTCTATTGTTCCCATGTTTATGCCAATATGTTCTCAATGTTTAGTTTCCACAAAGACATGGAATCAACCTAGGTGCCCATCAATGATGGATTAGATAAAGAAAATGTGTATGGTACATAATACACCATGGAAAACTATGTGGCTGTAAACAAAGAACAAAATCATGTCCTTTGCAGCAACATGGATATAGCTGGAGGCCATAATCCTAAATGAATTAATTCAGGAACAGAAAGCTTGTCTTTTTATTGTGATGCTTTGAAATCTGGGGCTGTACTGATCCTGGAGAGACTGCTTCTCCCGGAGCAAGCCAATTCTTAGAGTGCATCTTTCATGAGCAAACCAACCAACTGGAAGCCCATACCCCAATCACCTCCTTTGTTGGGCTCTCACACTCAGGTCACTATTACCCCGCCCTAATCACCCCAGTACCAGGTACCAAACAGCTAGGGACAAGCCCTATGCCCCAAAGCAGTGAAATTATTCAAACTAGGCAATCCTAAATCTGCTCATCCTGCTTCTCCTGTTCCTTCCCACAAAAAACACAATAAAGCCTTCTGCTCATGTTTGTCGCTCACTCCCCTCTTCCTTCCGACTGACTCTGGGTCCTTCCCTGAGTGACACCCTCCCGCCATCGGCATGCCATGCCCCCTCCTCTTCAGAACTGTGACTAACCAACTCTCTTTTTGAAGGCAACTCTCTCCTAATCTGTTGGCCTCATCACATCTGAATAATACTAAAATCTACATTTTAAAACAGTGCTCAGGGAAGGTGATAGGAAGTGATGAGGGTGCTGTTTTAGGTAGGTGGTCTGGGAAGACATCTCAGAAGAAAGGTCATTTGAGCAGAAACCTGAAGGCAGAGAGGAAGAGGAAATATCTGGAGAAAAGAAAATAACCTCATTCCTGACTAATTTGCTCATTTCTGAACCACCTCCCCGTCATTGTCTCCCCTGGGTTTTACAGGACCATTTTCTTCTGCTCTTCTCTTGCCTTTGTGACATCCTAGGCATCCTCCTCCTCCAGTTCTCCCAGGTCTCTGGCATCAGTGATGTTTTAGGTGCTGATTTGTCCCCACAAGCAGTTCTGAAGACTTAGTAGCCTTCCTGGAGACGATCTCACCAACACTTTAAATTTATCCTAAAACCAAATGCATTATCTTCTTCCCCTACCCAAACAGGAAAACTTTCCATACTTCCCACCTGGATTATAAAAGTGCCACAACTGGTCCCCCTCCCTTAAATCTTTCCCATAACCAAATTATGCTTTTCATTGTTGCCAGAGTATACTTATTATGGTCCCCCTGCCTAATAATTTCAATGGTTTCCTATCTACAACATAAAGTCCAAAAATATGAGCCACAACCCATCATTCTATCTTCATTTCCAACAATATCCTTGGCAGTCAAGCCTCTGCCCCACTGCTGTCCCCAAACACCAAAGCCCAAAGTCTGCTGACTTCTTTCACTACAATAACCTTCACTTCTAGTACAGCCAGGCCCTGACAACCATACCCCAAATATTTTTAAATATTCTAATTATGAAAGAAAGACATGCTTATTGTAGAAAATATAGACAAGCCCAATGAATAAAAGTGAATTCACTATGTATAATCCTACCACCCACTACCATTCATTTGCAAGTATTAATTGAATATCTACTATGTGCAAAGAATAAGATAGAAGCTGGATATAAAGGAAGTTGAAATTCTTTAATATATTTTGAATGACACAGAAAGAAATTTTTTCATATGTTGTTCCCTCTGTCTGGAATGTTCTTCACCCGTTTATCAGGTGGCAAATTTTCCTTATTCCTAAAGATCAACTCAAGCCTTTCCTATTTTATGAATCCTTCTTGATTTCCCCCAAGATTGAGCTAATTACCACTTTTTTTTTTTATCACTCTGTACCTTGTATATTCATCCATGGTAACCCTATCACATACTGTTAAAGAGTTTTGACTGTTTGTCTATCTGCCTCTTCTTCTACTCCATGGGCCTCTGAGGCTGGGAACTATGGTAACACATCTCCAGTACCTGACACACAGTAGGCTCTTAACAAATGAATCATGCTTCACGGGGCTTCCCTTGAGTCAGAAAAACCCAAGTGGTTTTCGAAGCTGCAACTCCATTTGACAAAAGCTCCGTATATTTTCCAAATAGCTCTTTTTATCTTAAAGCATTTTCCCAGGTCATGTTTTAATGTAATAACACACATAACTCATTTTGATGGGACATGTTATACAATAAGCAAATTCTATTAGATACCAAAGCAAATTAAGAGAGTCATTTTGTACAGTTTGTACTCCCATTGAGCCTGCTAAAGTTATTGAGCCTGCCTTTCTTTCTAACACTCTGCCAGTTTCAAAACATTTAAAATAATCAATTAGCTGATCCTTGCAACACCTCTCAGGGTTCGGCAAGTGGTCTCATAATATTTTAGAGATATATATTTTTAAAGACAGAGGCAAAAAAACAGCTATCCTCTAAAGCAGTTGGATTACCCAATAATGCATAGTACCTGAACAGTCAGCAGCCTATGCTCAGAATTAAGACAACAGCAAAAGACTTCTACTTCACCAGGGACTCCTGCTTCCACCACTCACCATTTGAAGAAGACTCATCTGAAAATCCCACAGACTTAAGGTGAGATCGCCAGAGCAGTTGCCACCACCCATGGGAAATACAGTGCCATTTAGAGAAGCAGGAACTTGTGGGGCACAGTGGGTGGAAGGGGTCCACATAATTTGAAACACAACATCAGCAGCACAAAGTGTGGGGGAGTTTAAAAAAAAAAAAAAAGACTGCTTGGGCCAGGCATGGTGGGTCATGCCTGTAATCCCAGCACTTTGGGAAACTGAGGTGGGGGGATCACCTGAGGTCAGGAGTTCAAGACCAGCCTGGCCAACATAGTGAAGCCCTGTCTCTACTAATAACACAAAATTAGCCAGGTGTGGTGGTGCACACCTGTAGTCCCAGCTACTTGGGAGGCTGAGACAGGAGAATCGCTTGAATCTGGGAGGCAGAGGCTGCAGCGAGCCAAGATCGCACCACTGCACTCCAGTCTGGGTGAGACAGAGCGAGACTCCATCTCAAAAAAAAATGACTGCTTGGTAATTGACCAGACTTTACCAGTAGGAAGGTATTCAGTGTATATTGAAGGGGAACTTAACCATTATATTATTATAGTATATTATATTACATCACATTACATTAAACATATTATATTCAAGCTAATACAATAACATTTTTGAGAACTCATACATATTTTTGTAACAATTCTGTAAAGTTGGTAATATCCCCATTCTCATACTGCCAATAAAGACATACCTGAAACTGGGTAATTTATGCAGGAAATCAGTTTAATTGACTCACAGTTCCACATGGATGAGGAGGCCTCACAATCATGGCAGAAGGCAAATGAGGAACAAAGTCATGTCTTACATGGAGACAGGCAAGAGAGCTTGAATAAGGGAACTCCCATTTATAAAACCATCACATCTCATGAGATTTATTCACTACCACAAGAACAGTATGGAGGAAACTGCCCCCATGAATCTATTATCTCCCCCCGGCCCACACTTGACACATGGGGATTATTACAATTCAAGGTGAGATTTGGGTGGGGACACAGTCAACCCATATCAGGACTCCTGCAAGAAACTGATGGCAAACTCCAATTGGAAAGTGTAATAAAGGGTCTGTCTACAGAAGGTAGGGAAACCTTAAGAGACAATGCAGAATTAGTATCAGTGGTCCCTGTTATACCCATAAGCCTAAAGGGGCAATGTAGCTACTAGAATTTGGAGACAAGGTGTGTGGCAAAGGGCATTTTTCAGAAACTGTAACCCACTCCAGAAATACAGCCAACCCATGGGACACTACAAAGAGAGGGAAGGGGGGTCACCTTCAGGCCTCAGGCTCCTTCCTCCCTCTAATCCCCGCCAACACTCACACTGGCCAAGCCAATCTAAAGCTAGAATGTGAGGTAGCCTGTTGAAGTAGGCCAACTGCCAGGGCACAGAACACAGTGGGAAAAGGCAAAGAGTAGGCCTGAGAAAGCAAACAGACTGACCAAACATGAATTTAAGTAAGAACTGCAGTGTCATGAGACATCTTCAGAGTCAGCAACAAAAGGCAAAGAAAGGTATATTCTTCCAAAAGATAAGAGCAGGAGGTGGGGAGAGAGAAAGTTTGAATTAAAACATAATAAAAATTACAATTTAAGCCGGGCGCAGTGGCTCACGCCTGTAATCCCAGCACTTTAGGGGGCCGAGGTGGGTGGATCACGAGGTCAGGAGTTCGAGACCAGCCTGACCAACATGGAGAGACCCCGTCTCTACTAAAAATACAAAAATTAGCCAGGCCTGGTGGCGCGCGCCTGTAATTCCAGCTATTCGGGAGGCTGAGGCAGGAGAATCACTTGAACCCAGGAGGCGGAGGTTGCAGTGAGCCGAGATTTCACCGTTGCACTCCAGCCTGGGCAAGAGAGACTCCGTCTCAAAAAAAAAAAAAAATTACAATTTAAGATTATAGAAAAAAGTCCTTGAATTTTAAATATCTGATAAATTAAGAATAATCAAAATATGACTATAAGTGTATGTGGTTTGTCTTTGCTTAACCTGACGGCTTGATGACTTAAAGGAAAAGCAGAGAGTTAAACTAAACTCTCCAGGAAAAAAAAAAATGGACTGGAAAAGTGGCCAATTTCTGCCAATCCTCCTCCCTATATTTTCTAGTAACTAGTAGGCTCAGACAGTACCCAACCACGTGGTCTAAGCTGCTCTCTTTTTTGAAATGAACAAAATCACAGGAACTAAAGAGACAACAGAGAGAAAAGCAACAAAAAAAATACAGAAACAAATGAACAAATAGAGTCCTTTTATTAGAACATAGACAAGGAATCTGCACATTCCTTGAATTTAATCAAGAGATAGTGTGTATCAAATAAATATATCTGTAAGTTCTTTCAATTTTCACTATCACGAATTTCTGTATAATGAGGAATAACTCTATCATTAAAGAATAAATGGACATTAAAGCAAGGCCTATTATGAAATAATATTTAATTAAGATTAAATTGAGACATCAATGCCAGCCCCATTATTCCTGTAAGACAACTCTCAATATTCAAAGGCAAAGAGTCTTTGCTGCCTTGAACAAATTATGCAACCTGCTAAGAGAGCAGAACTCAATTTAAAAGCAAAGATGGAGAGATGTGGTACACTCATCATGTTTTTTTGATCAGTGTCTGCATAAAAACTGAAGGAAGGGAGTTGAATCCCACAGATTCCTCCTTTGATGTATTTCCTTGTCTAAAGGATGCCCCACCTGTAGCAGAGTCTTGGTACTATTTCTGTACACATCCATTTGTCACTACCAGAACAGAGCTGACTGGATTATCAAATAGTGATGACAAGAATTCTCTGATTCACCATCATGAGGGAAAAGACCCATACCTGAGTCAGCAGGTCTTTTAAAACGCAGGCCCCGGCCAGGTGCGGTGGCTCACGCCTGTAATCCCAGCACTTTGGGAGGTCGAGGCGGGTGGATCACGAGGTCAGGAGATCAAGACCATCCTGGCTAACATGGTGAAACCCCGTCTCTACTAAAAAAAAAATACAAAAAATTAGCCGGGCATAGTGGTGGGCGCCTGAGTCCCAGCTACTCTGGAGGCTGAGGAAGGACAATGGCATGAACCCGGCAGGCGGAGCTTGCAGTGAGCCGAGATCGCGCCACTGCACTCCAGCCTGAGTAACAGAGCGAGACTCCGTCTCAAAAAAAAAAAAAAAAAAAAAAAAGCAGGCCCCATTCTATGGCTTTACCTCTCAGGCAGCTGCCAGATTAGCCTAAGAAAGCCTCTGCTGGGGCAAGGACGACCACCTCAGATTATCAAAGCTACAGGGAAGAAAGGGCTACTGTGGTCCAAACCCCTAACTTTAGAGTGAAAGGAAGCAGAACCCTAAAATATTAAGGTGGAAACCTTTCGACACCAAAGGGAAACTTCCAAATATTTTTTCTGTTTCAGCAGATCTTTACATCTTTTAAGCCAAAACTTACTGCATTTAGCACAATGGCAATAGTAAATAAAGTACTTAAATGATCACTCAAAAAAGTAACCATGAGATTACTGCACTTCATCCACTTAGGTATAAAAAGAGAACTGTTGTCATGAGTGAAGCTGGGGCAGCAGCTGTGCTAGAAATGGAAATGAGTATGCGGCCAAAGGCAAAATCTGCATGAATATGGAAAGACAGCAACAACATGGAGAGCAGCTGAGTTTAAGGGCTTGCATAAGACCATCATGGTTCAAGAAGACTTTAAAAGTCTTCAGCGCAGATGATGGAACACAAGAATGTGTTAGTGTATTAGTCCATTTTCATACTGCTATAAAGATATTATCTGAGGCTCGGTAATTTATAAAGAAAAGAGGTTTTTTTTTTTAATTATACTTTAAGTTTTAGGGTACATGTGCACAATGTGCAGGTTAGTTACATATGTATACATGTGCCATGCTGGTGTGCTGCACCCACTAACTCGTCATCTAGCATTAGGTATATCTCCCAATGCTATCCCTCCCCCCTCCCCCCACCCCAGAAGAGTCCCCAGAGTGTGATATTCCCCTTCCTGTGTCCATGTGATCTCATTGTTCAATTCCCACCTACGAGTGAGAATATGCGGTGTTTGGTTTTTTGTTCTTGTAGTAGTTTACTGAGAATGATGATTTCCAATTTCGTCCATGTCCCTACAAAGGACATGAACTCATCATTTTTTATGGCTGCATAGTATTCCATGGTATATATGTGCCACATTTTTCTTAATCCAGTCTATCATTGTTGGACATTTGGGTTGGTTCCAAGTCTTTGCTATTGTGAATAATGCCGCAGTAAACATACGTGTGCATGTGTCTTTATAGCAGCATGATTTATAGTCCTTTGGGTATATACCCAGTAATGGGATGGCTGGGTCAAATGGTATTTCTAGTTCTAGATCCCTGAGGAATCGCCACACTGACTTCCACAATGGTTGAACTAGTTTACAGTCCCACCAACAGTGTAAAAGTGTTCCTATTTCTCCACATCCTCTCCAGCACCTCTTGTTTCCTGACTTTTTAATGATCGCCATTCTAACTGGTGTGAGATGGTATCTCATTGTGGTTTTGATTTGCATTTCTCTGATGGCCAGTGATGGTGAGCATTTTTTCATGTGTCTTTTGGCTGCATAAATGTCTTCTTTTGATAAGTGTCTGTTCATGTCCTTCGCTCACTTTTTGATGGGGTCGTTTGTTTTTTTCTTGTAAATTTGTTTGAGTTCATTGTAGATTCTGGATATTAGCCCTTTGTCAGATGAGTAGGTTGCGAAAATTTTCTCTCATTTTGTAGGTTGCCTGTTCACTCTGATGGTAGTTTCTTTTGCTGTGCAGAAGCTCTTGAGTTTAATTAGATCCCATTTGTCAATTTTGGCTTTTGTTGCCATTGCTTTTGGTGTTTTAGACATGAAGTCCTTGCCCATGCCTATGTCCTGAATGGTAATGCCTAGGTTTTCTTCTAGGGTTTTTATGGTTTTAGGTCTAACATTTAAGTATTTAATCCATCTTGAATTGACTTTTGTATAAGGTGTAAGGAAGGGATCCAGTTTCAGCTTTCTACATATGGCTAGCCAGTTTTCCCAGCACCATTTAGCAAATAGGGAATCCTTTCCCCATTGCTTGTTTTTCTCAGGTTTGTCAAAGATCCGATAGTTGTAGATATGCGGCATTACTTCTGAGGGCTCTGTTCTGTTCCATTGATCAATATCTCTGTTTTGGTACCAGTACCATGCTGTTTTGGTAACTGTAGCCTTGTAGTATAGTTTGAAGTCAGGTAGTGTGATGCCTCCAGCTTTGTTCTTTTGGCTTAGGATTGACTTGGCGATGCGGGCTCTTTTTTGGTTCCATATGAACTTTAAAGTAGTTTTTTCCAATTCTGTGAAGAAAGGCATTGGTAGCTTGATGGGGATGGCATTGAATCTGTAAATTACCTTGGGCAGTATGGCCATTTTCACGATATTGATTCTTCCTACCCATGAGCATGGAATGTTCTTCCATTTGTTTGTAGCCTCTTTTATTTCCTTGAGCAGTGGTTTGGCTGGGGAGGCCTCAGGAAACTTACAATCATGGCAGATGAAAAGGGAGCAGGCACCTTCTTCACAAGGCACCAGGAGACAGAGAGAACACAAGGGAAATTGCTACCTTCAAAACCACCAGATCTCGTGAGAACTCCCTCACTACCATGAGAACAGCATGGGGAAAACGGCCCCCATGATCCAATCACCTCCCACTAGATCCTCCCTCGACACATGGAGATTACAATTCAAGATGCGATTTGGGTAGGGACACAGAGTCAAACCATATCAGTTAGCCTAATCTCTACTCAAAGACAGTCAGTTGTCCCAGTCAGGAACCCACATTAATAGGGTAAAAGTCCACACACCAAGCCTGTAATCCCAGCACTTTGGGAGGCCTAGGTGGGCGGATCACAAAGTCAGGAGATCAAGACCATCCTGGCTAACATGGTCAAACGCTGTCTCTACTAAAAATACAAAAAATTAGCTGGGCATGGTGGTGGGCACCTGTAGTCCCAGCTACTCAGGAGGCTGAGGCAGAAGAATGGAGTGAACCTGGGAGGCAGAGCTTGCAGTGAGCCGAGATTGCACCACTGCACTCCAGCCTGGGCGACAGAGCAAGACTCCATGTCAAAAAAAAAAAAAAAGGCCACACACCAGCGGGACTAGTGCTTGCACTTCGAGTATTCATATTTTGGCCATCACCTGGCCTTTGCTAATTACAATAAAGAATTTCAGAAAGAGAGTTCTTTTGGTTAAATTAGGAGTCATCTTAATCAGCACCATGAATGTGGAAACAGGCTTCTGCTAGTGAAAATAGTGATACTCAAGATAATGTGGATTGGTTAAAATATTTGTCACCTTCCCCACCCTAACATGAACAGAGTAAAAGAACTGATTGAGGCCTCCATCCTGAATGCTTTGTGTGAGGTTTCATACCTAAATGGTCCTGTGCCCTTCCCCTACATTAGTAGAAATGCAGACAGAATGGAAGGGAATGTTGAGGGGAGAAATGAACAAACTAGCGTTCCAGGACAGAGATGCTGTGATGCTTTGCAGAATTTCTTAAACATGCAATAATCAATTTTTAAGATCTTGAATGCATTTTTTTTCGAATACATACAGTAGAGACAGACTATTGGTTATCCTAAAGCCTACATATACTAAAAGAACCAATTTAAAGGAGAACACATGCTTATCTACTCCCAAACCCTATCCAACACAAAAATACACTTCCCAGCCACAAGTGCAAAATCTCTCAATTTATGCTATGACTTTGTTCTCTGCATTGCACTGAATAATGTATCTAAAAGTAGCCGAGTCTCTTTCACTGTCCAATTTTCATACAGTAGCACATTGTAGCAATCTGTTGATAAATACCGACCCTGTAGTACTTCTAGATTAAATTTTTAAAACATACCTCTAGAGATTTTTAATGATTTCCATTTAAATCATTTTCAGGTTTTTGCAAAACTACAATTTAAGCATCTTCAAAATGTGGGGTTTAGTCTGACACAAATATCTTAATTATTTTAATATTAAATTATTTGTCCACTTTCAATACGGTATGTCCATTTTTTTAAGTACCCAGCTAATTGCTTTTCCAAACTCTATACTGAGCGACAAGGAAGAAAACATTCAAATCAATGGACGATAACATTGACAACTGCTGGGGCTTCTGTAATATTAAATACTGAAGATGAAGCCACCAATTGTACAGACTGAACTGAGGTTTCTTTGCATAATTCCTTAATGAAATGAGACTGCTACACTAGAAGTTGGGCAACCCTGACCTAGATTCTTACAGTAAGAATAGCTGCCCTAGATGTCTGTCAAGATTGTGCATTAGAGTGTATTCTTAATCAGTGAACAATCAAAACAAATATTTCACTTCACTTCAGAAATTCATGTCGTGTGATTGCATCTGACACATCTAGGAGAAGATAATCCCTTACAGTTCACTTCCTCCTGTTTCTAAATGTAGGCTGCATTGACTTAAATAGGGTTCTCCACTTTGTCCTGGACTGGAGAGAGTATTCAGAGGATCTGGTGAAACGAGAATTCCTAACTGGTTCTTGGAGTAGGAATTATGAGAACCAGGACCCCTTGCCTAACCAGGACTGAGAATGCCAGAGTGGGTAGAATTTTCTCAAATTAAGCACAAGAAAAAAATCAATGTGGTATTCTTTTCAACAGAAATAAGAGTATCAGTATGTATTTCGACATTGTTTATTTCAGTATCATTGACAGTGGCAAAAAAAAAAAGGAGAGGAAATCACCTCAATCTCCAATCAGTAGGGAAATGATTGAATAAATTATTGCCCCTTCATTCATGGATTATTTTGCAATTAGAGAAGCAACATAACTCAGAGATTAAAAGCCAGACTGCCTGTTTCTTACTCTACCACTTCCTAAGCTCGGTAACACACAAATTATTCAATTTTCATTCTCAAACTGAAAATGCCAATAATAATAGTAGCTACTTCACAGAGTTGCTGAAAGGATTCAATATAGTAAAGTCTTTGTAAGAGTAATTTGGACATCCTAAACATTCAATAAAGAAAGCTATTAATAATTAAAAGACTTAATTAAGCCTAATTAGATCCAATAACTGAATTGGATGGCTGTCCTTGGCAAAGTAATGCTCCAAGTAGAATAATATGAAAAAGTAACCCTACATATCTATATAAATTTGCCTTGTACAGAAAAAGGTATGTAAGGGTACACAAATTATTAACATTGGTTACCTTAGAGGTGGCCTTGGAGGAAGAAGACGAAGGGAGAATAATCTTTTTTCTATGTATACTTTTGTGTTACATTTATGATAATAAGCACAAGTTACTTATGTAATTTATTAAATCCAGTAAGGTAAAAAAAAATGTATGTATTAATATCTAAGCACGTATTTGGATACTTAAAGTCAGGGGACATTTGGCCTTGGGCCTACACGTGGGAACCAGAACTGGGGTTGGGAAGGAAAAATGGCTGTGTTGCAGGTCAGGCCTGATACGGCATCTCCTGAACCATTCGTCTATGTAGCAAGGCTGCAGACCCGTAGAGGACAATGACTGTGTTGGTCACCTTAACTGTGTCAGTGCCCACAGATGTTACATGAATGGATGCCTCCATCCCAGCGGGCATATGATTTTGTATGTGTCAGTGAAGATGGTCTAAGTTATATTGTGGAGGCTTAAACAACACAGATTTCTCTCTCATTCTTGCCACATCTTGAGTGCAGATCAGCTACAGCTCCATGTCAGGCTTCACTGGGGACCTAGGAGGCGGAACTCCAGCCTTCATCTGGAGTGTTGCTGAGCTCATGCAGAGGGAAAAGAGAGAATGGAGAGCTACATATTGGCTCTTAAAACTTTGTCTGAAAGTGGCTCATCTCTTCTGCTACTTATTTATTTGCCAAAGAAAGTCATATGGGTGTATCTGAGTCCAACAGGGTAGAGATGTGTAATCTTCCACCATGGAAGGCACTCATGTGGATGAAAGGTAATGTAATCTACCATACTGCACTTCTCCACTGTTCTGTGTTATCCACACATATTCTCCCTTTTCTTCTTCAGAACCAGTCTAGAATCTCTTTCCTGAAAACCTTGGGGCTAGATGCATTTCAGAATTCAGAATTTTTTGATTTTATAGTGCAATCATATTTAGGTAATACCCTGAATGGGATTTGAACAGCACCTTGTACTAGTATTTCTGTAGCAAAACACATAAATATCCACATTAAATGACATAAATAACTAGAAATAGCTTCATTTTAGTTTAGGTCTGGTATTTCCACCAAATAAGTTTGTACCAAACTTACAGAAAAATTTAGGATTTTCAGGGCTTTCTGGAATTCAGAATTGCAGGTAATGGATTGTGGGCAAATATAACCAAGAATTAGCTATAGAGTAAATCTGCTTTAATGTCTCTTTCTCCAACAGAAAAAAAGCAAAACTCAAATAAGTAAGGAGTTTAAAAGGAAAATGATATATTTTGGCAGTGCCATGAGACTTCCGTTCTACTTCCTGTCAGGAACAGTGTGAATTATGTCACCATTTAAACCCAAGAACACAAAGCATCCAAAGAAAATCAAACCGAATTTAAACATCCTTCAAATTTCTCTTTATTGTAGGTTTGACATAATTTATATCAAATATAATAGTTTATGTGAATAAACTCCAGGTAAGATAATAGTTTATCTGAATAAACTCCAGGTAGGGGTTTATTCCAATGTTTATTCCAGAATTTGGACCAAATAAGCAATAGATGCTAGGGCAATCATCCTAAATACATGTAAAAAAAAGAAACTTGGCCAGGCGCGGTGGTTCACACCTGTAACCTCAGCACTTTGGGAGGCCGAGGCTGGCAGATCACTTGAAGTCAGGAGTTTGAGACCAGCCTGGTCAATATGGTGAAACCCCGTCTCTACTAAAAATACAAAAAAAAAATTAGCTGGGTGTGGTGGTGGCACCTGTGATCCAAGCTACTTGGGAGGCTGAGGCAGGAGAATCGCTTGAACCTGGGAGGTGGAGGTTGCAGTGAGCCAAGATCGCACCACCGCACTCTGGCCTGGACGATACGACGAGACTCAGTCTCAAAAAAAAAAAAAAAGAAAAGAAAAGAAACTCCCCAAAAAACTGCATGCAAAGTAAATATCTCATACGAACCCCAGTCTTCAGGTCATCCATGGCTAATGAGATTGGTCGGCCTCCTAAGAACTATGGCAGTCAATATTTCACGAGGTGGTGTGTGGAAATGAGCAAGATGTATGATTCTCAATTCCAATACTTACTTACTGCTGAGATTTACAACACCCTGAGCACTCATTTCTTATGTATAAGATGAGTTTAGGAAACAATATTGCCTATCCTACTACATCACAAGATTGCTGTGCAGTTCAGATGAGAAAACATTTGCAAACTTACAGCTTCCTACAAGTACTAATCACTACTAAGATGGTTGCTCCTTGAAACTGTCCTAGGAAAGATAGTAGAATCTCTTTTCTGTCCATCCTGCTCCCACATAAACACATACAGAGACCAACTTAAGGATTCACTGGGCTCCTCTTATCTTAAGGTATATTCTGCTCCTTTAAAAATGATGTAAAAACATATGTTCTTATCCAGGTTTGGCTTTGTCTTAAGAGTCTGTTTGCTTTCTCTAGTTCCTTCTATTTAGGAAGAAAATTTCTAATTTATTTCTTGAAAAACTTTGTTAGTGATATCAACCTCAGTTCATTTGCCATGCTGCAGTGACCACCAACAAGAAGTCAAATTAAATCAGTTAAAAACAGAAAATAAAAAAGGATGAATTAGCACCATGCTAGTTCAGCTTGGGCTTTAATTCAGATAAGACACTAATATCCCAATATTAGGAACATAGTTGCAAGAAGTTAAGGCAGCAGGGTCATAAGTGATTTTCCTCTCACTTTATAATATATAAGAATTGGGATGAAAAAAATATGTATCTATTCGTTCCATTCTTCAATCTTGTTTACCAAGAAATTTTAGGTGGAAAAGTTGGCTCTTATGACATTTGAGTTGGGGGGAGGGATAAGAGTGTTTATTTTGGAGTTAGAATCATCAATTATAGTGGCCTCTTCTAGATTTTAAGCCTCAGTATTATTCAACTTAAGTATCTGATTTAGAGAGGTTTTTTTTACCCTTCTATGTATAGTTCATATTACAGAGGGTGTGGGAGGAATAATGCTATTAAGTCAGTATTTTGGAAGGGCAAATCTATTTTTATTTGTTATTCCTAAGAGCTGAAAAGAATGTAGGAAATATCTCTTGATAACTACAGGGAACTACATGAATTACTGTAAACAGAAATGGAATCACAGCTTTCATGTTCTTTTCTCCAAATGATTTTCCTTCAAGGTTCCAAACCCTAAAATACAGTTTTCCTTTTTAAAATGCCAAAGTCTGTACACAGCTTCATCCACACTTGAACAACAATAATTGGGTAGCTACTACACAGGAAATATGAGAGTGAGCAAATCAACATAGTGCCTGCTGACATAGAGCTTAAGTGAAGGTTTCAGTAAGATCTAGGTTCTGATGGAAACAGAAGCTGGAGAGCCAGGAGGGGTCAGTACCCGAGGCCTGCTTTCCTAGGTGGGGATCTGATAGATACTGCCAATGAGAGAGGCAAGGGCAGGTGAACAAGACTGCAAGATTCAGCCATATAAGAAGAGCACCCCATGAGCAAAGGAAACAGTCAACAAAGTAAAAACACAAACCACAGAATGGGAGAAAATATTTGCAAACTACCCATCTGACAAGGGATTAAAAACCAGAATAAATAAGAAGCTCAGGCCAGCCATGGTTGCTCATACCTGTAATCCCAGCACTTTGGGAGGCCGAGGCAGGTGGATCACTTGAGGTCAGCAGTTCAAGACCAGGCTGGCCAACATGGTGAAACCCCATCTCTACTTAAAAAAAAGATAATAATAATAATAATAATAATACAAAAATTAGCCAGATGCAGTGATGCATGCCTGTAATCCCAGCTACTCAGGAGGCTAAGACACGAGAACTGCCTGAACCCGGGAGACGCAGGTTGCAACAAGCCAACATCACACCATTGCACTCCAGCCTGGACAACAGAGCAAGAAAAAAAATAAAGAAGCTCAAACAACTCAATAGGGAAAAATCTAGCAACCTGATTAAAAGTGGGCAAAAGATCTGAACAGACATTTCTCAAAAGAAGACACAGAAATGGCAAGCAGGTCTATGAAAGATGCTTAACACCACTGATTGTCAGAGAAGTGTAAATCAAAACTACAATGAGATATAATCTCACCCCAATTTAAATGGCTTTTATCCAAAAGACAGGCAATAATGAATGCTGGCGAGAATGTGAAAAAAAAGGGAAACTTCATACACTGATGGTGTGAATGTAAAGTAATACAACCACTATAGAGAACAGTATGGAGGTTCCTCAAAAACCTAAAAATAGAGCTACCATATAATCCAGCAATCCTACTGCTGGGTGTATACTAAAAAGAAAGGAAATCAGCATATCAAAGAGATATCTGCACTCCCATGTTTATTGCAGCACTGTTCACAATAGCCAAGATTTGGAAGCAACATAAGTGCCCATCAACAGATGAGTAGATAAAGAAAATGTAGTACTTATGCACAATGGAGTACTATTCAGCCATAAAAAGAACGCGATTCAGTCACTTGCAACAACATGGATGGAATTCGAGGTCATTATGCTAAATGAAATAAGCCAGACAAACATCACACTTATTTGTGGGATCTAAAAATCAAAACGATTGAACCCATGGAGATAGAAAGTAGAAGCACAGTTACCAGAGGCTGGGAAGGGGAGTGGGAGGGGTGAAGAGGAAGTGGGGATGGCTAATGGGTACAAAAATATAGTTAGAAAGAATGAATAAGATCTACTATTTGATGGCACAAGGTAACTGTAGTCAATAATAATTTAATTGTACATTTAAAAATAACTAAACGAGTATAATTGGATTGTTGGTAACACAAAGGATAAACGCTTGAAGGAATGGATCCTCTATCTTCCATGATGTGATTATTACTCATTGCATTCCTGTATCAAAACATTTCATACCCCATAAATACATACACCTACTATGTATCCATAAAATTAAAAATTAAATTAAAAAAGAAGTGCATCCCAGGGAGGTCAGGTAAGCCGGGAGGCACTAATTGGTGCCATAGCTCTAGACAGACAAAGCCCAGAGTCCAGAATTATCAGAGAGATTCAGCAAGAAGGCAGGAACCAGTGGGCAACACTGTCAGAGACCCTGAAGTAGAAGCCCTTTGCTCTCTGCCTTATTCTATCCTCCCTCCCAACTCAGTGTGGGCAGCCTTGCTGCATCCCCTAGAAGTGTATGTAAGCACCACAATCGGAGGTCTGCAAGAATGTTCTAACTTTGATTGGCACCAAAGCAGAGCTGCTAGGCTCTCTATGAGGTCAGGATGGTGGCATGTCCAAGACCTCAGGGCACCCAAATGTTTTCTCTTGTAGCCAGAAAGAAACATCCAGAGCTTAAACAAGTGAGCCGTAACCCTCTCACTCTGCTCATGATGAATCTGGGCAGCACAGTGGAGAAGCAACAGTTTCTAAGTTAGTAGTGAGTGTTCACATACTCCCAATGTTAGAGTAACCTGAAAAATTTGGGGAATAAATCTAATATCTTTTTCTAAGATGTCATGTGACTATATCATGAACAGTAATGCTTCTATTAAATAAAATAGAGAGTGACTTTTCACTGATATACTTTATTAGGAATTATGTTGCTAGATACAGGAGTTATATAATAGGTATAGTGCTGTTCAAGTTGTCAGGAAAAGAAATGGATCAGAGCAGGAAAATATGTTTAAATGCTTCTTAGATACCACCAAACGGGTTGAAAGCCATGAAGAGGGATCATGATATGACTTTCTGTTTCGCGCACCAAGGAAAATGGGCCGACTGCATATGCATCTGGCACCACAGTTTTACTGCAGGCTTGCCTCACCACAGTGGCAGAAGGGCTGGCTAGCTGAAGGCCCAGGAGCTGTACAGAGCAGCAGATGAAATTGGCTGCGGCTCAGATGCAATTCACAGCCTACAAAACAGCCCACTTCCCTGTGGGGTTTTCTTCAAGGTCAGGACTATGCTCAGAAAAAAACCTCCCGTGCATGAGTCAGGCAGCCAAGTACAATTGTGGTTAAGACCCTCTGGCAGTGGTTAAGACCCATGACCTCCTGGGTCATGACACTGTTTGAGCCATTGCTTTGTCATCTCACCACGTTAAGAGTTTCCCATGGCCACCCAGGAGCCCTTCCCCACCACTAAGTCAGTCTCCTTGAAGCTCACTAGCTTTGCCATTTGTCTGGCACAAAGAGTACCACATTTATACTTTCTAACTCCAATTCAGCCATTTGTGGCAGCAAACTATATCTTCCATCCAATATCATTTGGAGCTTACAGTATGTTTCATCACTTCAGTCCATGCTACTCTGATACCAGCCATCGCTTTCATAATGCACAATCAGAAGACTCTAAGTAAGCATGCCTCAGAAAATGGGCCCTGATTGCTTTCAAACAAACCACAGAGCCCAGACCTTCTCCCTGCTATTCCGATCTTGTAGCTCTGTGGTAGGGTCCAGGGATCAAAACGGCGTTTCAGGTTATTCTAATGCAGGTCAAAAGACCTTACTTTGAAGAGTCTGAAATTACATCCCCTGGCCTTTGGACATATTTTAAACTAAAGTCAGAAAATGCAAAAAACACCATAAATTCAATTTCAACAGAAATTCTGATGTGGTCCTGTCACTGGTGGTTTTATCTGCGATATAAATGCTCTGAAGTCTAGCATTCATCTTTAGCATCTCAAGCCATTGACAAAAAGTCATAACTATTTTATGCAAATCATGATCCACAAACGACCAAAGAAACTCATTACCTTATATATGATGGACAGGTGCTGAGGGAAATTAAGCATTATATCATATCACCTAACCCCACATATTTTCCCATTTGGGTTCATAACCCATCATCTTGAACTTTTACTTTGTTTTAGTAGCGAGAATAATACTAGATTTATGCTTCAAGGCAATGTGCCTTGTGTAATGCAGTGCTTAATTTATGGTTGCTTTTAAAGCTGGTGATGCCAAACTTTGAATGAACTACTTTATTTTTCATCGTTTTAATTTCAAACTTCCTTTTGAGCCCAAATTTATTTTGCACTTCTACAGATGTTCTCTACCCTTTTTTATATACCACTACTATTAAAAGGTTATTTGGAATACAGAATGTATTATGTCTGCAAAAACTAAAGGAAAAGGGCAGAGGAAGATGAAGAGAAAAGAATAATAAAAGGGAAAAGGAGGAAAAGAAGAGGAAGAAGATAAAGAAAGGGAGGAACATGTCATCTGACCAGTCCCTTCCATGCAAAATTTGCTACTGTTCTTTTGTACTCCAGCAGTGCTCAATGACATCTTGTCCCACCTACCACCTTCACCCTTCCCTGCCACTTGCCCTATGACATGAAGTCCACACTATCTCTCCCAACCCCAATGATCTAGCCCAAGTGATCCCAAGAGGCTCTCAGAGATTCAGCAAATACTCAAACACACCTGGAGCCCAGCCCTCCACCTTCTTCTTGGAGAGGAGACCACTACAGGTAAGGCAAAGGCTTCTGTTCTTGCTCATGTTGGGCACGCCCCCCTTGTCTCACCTATGCTCCATCCAGCAACAGGGAGTTCACATGCTGCTCAGATCTGGCCATACTCCTGGTTTCTGAAGAGTAATTCAACCTCTGTCCCAGCCGCCCTGACTTGACACTCAATGAACACTTATAAGCATAATTAAGTGTAGGTACTGTTTTTGATGCTGGGATGGAGAGTTTAATAAGATTAGAAGCTTACAGTAGAGTAGGAGGGACAGACATAAAAACGGATAGAGAGCCCCACTGAAAGAGATGATGGAAGATTTCCTTAATCACCAGCATTGAGTCTTGAAGCATGAGCTAGCCAACTGAAGTAGTCAAATCCAGGGTTATATTACAAGACAAAAAAAAGGGGCCTAATGAAAGGCATGGAGCTGTGAAATATTTGGGGGTGCGGGGTGTACAATCAGCTCAGGAATATAAATATGGACCTGGAGACTTGGTGCATGAAGCTGAAGACCAGGCAGAGGCCAGAAGGCAGGGGGCTGAAGCCCTCCCTGGGTGGCTTGGATTTAATTTATGAGCAGTGAAGAACTGCCAATGAGTTTTTTTGTTTAAGGTATGCTCTGCCAGATTAGCAATTTAGGAAGCACCTATGGTGGTGGTGTAAATCCTGCATGTGAGGTGGGGTGGGTAGGTGATAGGGGAGCGAGATCCAAAGTATCAAGGCCATCTGGAAGCTTCTGCAATAGAACAATCCTGAACTGATGAGGGTCCAAATAGGGACAGAGTGAGCATAAAGGGGAAGAAATGGATTTGAACAACTCTTTAGAGGCTAAATCAATTGCGCATGCCAGAGAAGAATTCTAGGAAGAGTCCCAGGTTTCTGATTCATATGACTCAGCAGTGAGTTTACTGGAACAGAGAAGAAGGAGAAGAAATTTACTTGGGGATGTAAGGAGTTATTTATGAATTCATTATGAGCTCCAAACCCCTTTACACAAGCCACGCAATCCCTGCAAATTTGGAAGACTTTAAAAATGTTACTGGCAGTATCATAAAAGAACTATTTTCCCAAAGGGTTTGTTCACTGCAGTTTCATTGTCTGGAATTCAATTTGTACTTTCCTAACTCCATTATTATTACGGACATAAGCAGGGAAGGTGTGTTCTGCTTTCAACACTGATTTCATCACTCTGCTCATTTGATGCTAAACAGTAAACCCTCAGCCTTGGCTCCTGTCCACGTTTACCCATCGGTGTTCTTGGTGTCAAGGATCTGCTGCTGTGCTGGCCAGTGATTCAGCCAAGCTCTGGGGGCAGACAGGACAAGGGCTCCACAGGGTTGTTAAGAGAAAATCTTCAGTATTGTTTCTGTAATATCTTATTTCATACGTTTAAAGATCAAATATGACAATTTAAAAATAAATATTAATTCTAGATAATAGTATCCACAAATATTTATTTTCTGTATATTTCCTTTTTTAATCCTCAGATTTAATTTTTACAAGACCAGATCATAAATGTCTTCCATCTCCTTATTCCCACCAATCATCCTGCCCTTCTTCCCAAACACAAAACCCAGGGAGCTTTCTTCTTTCTTTGATAACTGTCAATTTGTTGCTTAAGGAAAGGAAAGAATGCAAAAAAAAAAAAAACTAGTAAGTTAAGAGAATACACCTTTCCAAATTGTTCCAATTAAAGTTCTTATTGAGATATTGCAGCATTACTAGAAATATGTGTGCATATAAATTTGTAGATAATATATGTTGTATATAATATGTTATAGGCTGGGTGCAGTGGCCTGTATCTGTAATCCCAGTGCTTTGGGAGGCCAAGACAGGAGGATCTCTTGAGGCCAGGAGTTTGAGACCAGCCTGTGCAATGTAGGGAGACCCTGTCTCTATGAAAAAAAAAATTAGCTGAGTGTGGTGGCGCATACCTGTAGTCCCAGTGACTCGGGAGGCTGAAGAAAGAGGATTGCTTGAGCCCAGGAGTTGGAGGCTGCAGAAAGCTACGATCGAGCCGCTGCAGTCCAGCCTGGGTGGCGGGGCAGGACCCTGTCTCTAAAAAGAAATAACAACAATAATAAAATATATATAATATGTTATATATAAAACATATGTATTTATATACATATATATTTTTAAATTTGAGTTAACTTACCACTTTCAATACATGTTTACTCTCCAAGAAAATGTACAAAGAGTTTAAGATATCAGTTCAAACTTCTTGGTACAATCTTTTAAAGAACGATTGATCCAAAATATCCTTCAAAGGTTTGACTAATGCCCCAGTTCAGCTTCCTGAGAAGCATGGAAGTTGCATGCAGGACACTTATTAGGCAGTGCTCTCAAGATCAATGACTGGAGGGGAGGGAGGAAACCAGCATTGGGCAGAGGAAGGAGTTGGGTCACAATGCAGGGACAACAATGGCTTCAGCTACTCCTAATGACGCTTCAGAGTTGTTCCCGTTAGGGCTGAAGGGACCAGGCCTTTATACCGCTGCATCAACCAGACACCCTAGTCATTAGACGCATTGGGGATAGGAGGGCGACCTTGGGTAAAGAGTCAGCAAGTTCAGCAAGAGTCCGCAGCCAAGGGCAAGTCCCAGAAGCTGAGTGCTGTCCACAGCCAACACTCCTACAGCTGGGGTAATAAGTCTTTCCGTAATAAGTCTCTCCATAATAACGTAACAGAGGGCTTCTGATAAGCACACCACACTACACTTAAGTTCTAAGAAAGTCAGCAAAACTGTCAATAATTACATCTGAATTAATGTAAGCATGGTGACCTTAAGCAAGTCACTTAATGCTATGGGGTTCATTTCCCCTATGTATCAAATGAGGCAGGATAGATCTTTGTCAAGTTTCTTCAACCCTAAAGGTCTAGATATGGCCAAATTTCTCACACTGTAGAGATGCATTTTTATAATCTCTATTTATACTTTCTATGCATATTTGGGGCCCTTTGAATAAACAACACATGCAATACATTTATGCGTACTTTATTTTTTTATTATTTATTTGTTTTGTTTTATTTTATTTTTTGAGACGGAGTCTCACTCTGTCACCCAGGCTGGAGTGCAGTGGCACAGTCTCGGCTCACTGCAAGCTCCACCTCCCGGGTTCATGCCATTCTCCTGCCTCAGCCTCCTGAGTAGCTGGGACTACAGGTGCGCGCCACCATGCCTGGCTAATTTTTTTGTATTTTTAGTAGAGACAGGGTTTCACCGTGGTCTCGATCTCCTGACCTCGTGATCCACCCGCTTCTGCCTCCCAAAGTGCTGGAATTACAGGCATGAGCCACTGTGCCTGGCTATTTATGCTTACTTTATATGACCTGAATTAGTGGAGCCACTTGGAATGTCTGGGCATTCGAAGGAAAATTTATAGAAAGATATTTCTTTGTTTTAATGACACATTATTTACCATACCTTCGATTTATTTGATTCTAAGACAATTGGTAGGAATATGTAGGTCTTCCATTGTGGTGTTATTCTCATTAGAAAATAGGATTTAAAAAAATCCTTTTGAGGACACAGTCTCCATTGAACATGTTGAGGGGAAAAAGCCAGGACTTCTGGTAGTACATCACCAATGAAGAGGACACAGCCAGAATAACAATGACATAATGCTCTTTATCAGTACAGTAAGAACTAAAGGAACATCCAGAGGAAATACAGGCTACTTCAGGAAATAGGCTGTTACAGTCATCTAACATCTCACAAAACAAACAAAGCCTTTTGGATTTGTTAGATATTTCCAAGGCTTCCACTAATCAGGACTGTCAACAGCAGAGAAGGAGAAATAGGAGGATTCTGAACATCTTAGAACTCTGGGTAGCAAATGAAATTGGCAAAGCAATAGTGATGTTGAGTTTTCTGGAGTTGGTGTCAGTGCCCAGATTCTGTTCACCTTAACTCAAAGGGAAAGTTTTCTCTTTTCATTCCCTCTTATCAAAATTTATCTCTATATTGTCATATATTTTTAATGGCCATATTCAGGGACATGCAGGAGATAGGTT